>NC_000010.11:16070606-16222121 GCF_000001405.40 Homo sapiens
GTGGTTTGCCTATTCTCTACCACTCCCAACCCAGGAAAACAGTTGAATTTATTTATTCTAGTGTTTTGGGTTTTTTGTTTGTTTGCATGTTTGTGCTTATTTTTGTAATGTCTTTTTTGAGGTATAATTGACATAAAAGCACTGCCATGTGTTTTATGTGTACAATTTGGTGAGTTTGGACACGTGCAAACATCCATAATACCAGCACCACAACAGAGGTAATAGACAAATACAACTCTTCCCAACGTTGCCTTGTATTCCCCCTTTTTGTGTGTGTATAGTAAGAACACAACATGAGATATATCTTATTAACAAATTTTGAAGTGCTGTTGTTTGCTCTTAAATTATTTTTCTTTATTATTTTTTCTGTAAATTTACTTGGTCCTTTTCTAGCATCTTGTGTTAGATATTTAATTATTTTTATTCTTTAGTTTTTAGTAACTATTAAAAGGCTATTAAATTTTCTCAAAGCACTTCTTTAGACATTATTCCATTTGCCTTGAATTATGTTGCTTGCAATTGCATTTTTGTTTCCTCTTTTAATCCAAAGCTATTTAAAATTTAGAAAATATTCAGCATTCCAGGATGGGGTTTTCTTATGTTTTTGTGATTGGTTTCTATCTTTTATTCTCTTGTTTTTTTGCTGCAAAAAACTTTATTTTCATTTGGTCCAAGGCTTGGGAGAGGGCTCCAAGATTGTTAAAAGGCTGGCTAGTGGCTGAATGAAGAAGCTCAGGCAGAAAGAAGCTCAGCCCTGATTCTTTGAGAAGGGCCCTTCGGAAGTCACTGGGCTCAGGAGGCTCCTAGTTGTGCTTTGAGAGTGAGACTTTTGAAGACATACTTGCCCAGTCTGGCCTCGGGGCCAGAGAGTCTGCAGAGGTTAGTCAGGTCCACCTATCTCCTTGATGAATCTTACTTCCTCACTTCCTCTGCCCTCACAGTCTGTGCGGGCAGAACCCAGGGCATGAAAATCAAAAAGGGCCTGGTTCAGTTCTTCTCTAGAACCATGGTGATTTTCATGGGGTCCAGCAATTTACCCCACTCATCTTAAGACAGCTTCTGCCCTTCCTGGAATGCAGTGTGGCTGCCGCCCTGGTTTTGCATCTTCAAGATAGAAGCCCAGAGAGAGGTAGGTGTAAGGAAGCCCACAGATGCAAATTGACCAGGCAGGTGACAGCTACTTCCACCTCAGTGGAATAACTGAGAAATGTGGAAGTTCACAGTTGGTCAGCAAGAAGGAGCTAACATCAAAAACGATGTTGGGTGGTCCCAGACCAGGAGACGGCCAAGAAGATGGTCCCGGAGGTTGCAAGTTAAGAAGAGATTGGAGGGTGGTTGGGGGCTGGAAGAGAGAGAGAATCTATTCCTTCCAAACACTGTTGAAGCAAGAGACAGATTCACAGGACTGCTGAATGCACTGCCAATTTCTATATTAAAAAGAATGTAATCAATTATATTTCTTTTTTGAATTTGCTTACTTTGTCATCCAATATATAAATATGTTTAATGAATGTTCAGATAACACTTTAATGAAAGCTTTGGGAGGGTCCTCTCTATATGAAGTTCTATATAATATGTTAAAGGCTTTTTCTGGTTTTTTTTTTTTTTTTTTTTTTGAGACGGAGTCTCGCTCTGTTGCCCAGGCTGGAGTACAGTGGCCCAATCTCGGCTCACTGCAAGCTCCGTCTCCAGGGTTCACGCCATTCTCCTGCCTCAGCCTCCCGAGTAGCTGGGACTACAGGTTCCCGCCACCACACCCAGCTAATTTTTTGTATTTTTAGTAGAGATGGGGTTTCACTGTGTTAGCCAGGACGGTCTCGATCTCCTGACCTTGCGGTCTGCCCAGCTCGGCCTCCCAAAATGCTGGGATTACAGGCATGAGCCACCGTGCCCAGCCTATAATATGTTAAAAGTTTTTATGTAATTTCCAGGTAGTTGGGAATTTTACTTATGTATTTGTTATTGATTTCTAGCTTAATTCAACTGCAAATTAGGGAAAATATTCTGCGTCATGCCAATCATTGAAATATATTGAGTCTTTCTTTATGGTCCAGTGTGTGATCTGTTCTGGAAAATATTCCATACACATTCGTAAAAAATGATTACTGAGTTATGTGTTCTATGTATGTCTATCAGGTGAAGATTAGTAATTGTGTTGTCCAGATCTTCTATATCCTTTCTGATCTTTTCTTTTTATTATGTCAGCTATCAAGAAAAATGAATTAAAGTTTCCAACTACAGTAAGTCCTCACGTAATGTCATGGATAGTTTCTTGAAAACTGTGACTTAAAGCAGAAAGATGTATAATGAAATTACTTTTATCAACTGGGAATCATTTTTTTCTCATTAAAGTTATGACAAAACGACATTGAATGAAATATTTTTCGAGGACCTGTGCATGATTTGATTGGAAATTAGTCCATTTCTCTTTTTGGTTCTATGAGCTTTTGTTTTCCATGGTATCAAAGTAAGTTTTTATAGGAATGTTTGTCTTCAGTCCATTCATGACTTTTTTGTGCCCCCAAAATTAAATACTAGTTGCATCTTTTATGAACATATCATTTACTTTTAGCAATATCTACATTTGCATTTACATCACTTCCTGTATCATTCCTCAGTTTGTTCTAAATTGCACTAAATTTCAAAAATATTATTTTTTCTCTGTGCCAGCTCTAACTTACTTTCATTGAAGACGGTGTTTTATTTATAATTTTATTTTAAAGACTTTCAGTTAGTTCAGTAGATGGCTATGCTCCATTTCATTATTACTTGTAGTCTCAACAACATGGACTTTAGAGTTACACAGATGTGGGTTTGAATTGTTATTCTTCCACTTAGTAGCTATGTGTATGAGTCACTTAATCACTTTGTGTCCCAGTTCCCTCTTTACAACATTATCTGGAATTTTTGTGAAGAATAAGGAAGATGATTTATTTAAAGACCTTAGCAATTCAATAAATAGTAGACAATTTTAAGGTTTTCATATCTTTTTTTAATTTTTATTTTTATTGACACAGGATCTTACTCTGTCAACCAAGCTGGAGTGCAGTAACATGATCACAGCTCACTGCAGCCTTGACCTCCTGTAGTCAAGTGATCCTCCCACCTCAGCCTCCCCAGTAGCTGAGACTACAGGTGCAAACCACCATACCTGGCTAGTTTTTGTATTTGTTTGTAAAGACAGGAATTCACTATGTTGCCCATGCTGGTCTTGAACTCCTGGTCTCAAGTGATCTTCTGGCCTCAGGCTCCTAAAGTGCTGGGAGTACAGGCATGAGCCTCCATGCCCAGCACATCTTTTCATTTCTAATGGCACCTATCAACTTACCTACATAGTGGGAGGAAGATCAGGGGACTGCAAAAGGTTATTAGAAGGTTGAAGGGGTAGCTAAAAGATTCAAAACCTGAACAATCTTAGCTTGGGTCAAGAGTAGGGATGATTGGAAACAGAAACTCTACCGTTACCAGAACTCTCATCATCCCTGTCTGTGTCAACTTCGTTCATTCACACCACCTCCCTCCATTTGGCAGAGGTCACAGCTGACAGTGGTTTTGGGATTGCAGACATTCAGCTTCATAACCAGTGAGGATGGAAGCTTCTCTAGACCAGCTGCAAGGGGGAGAGCCTTGTTGTCCTGGCCTGGGTGTTTGTCCTTCCCTTGGACCAATTACTGTGGCCAGAAGAGAGGGATGGATACTGGATAATCTAAAGTTATGTGTTTGATGCCTGTTTTCTTTTCTTTTTCTTTGTACTGGGATGGTTTCGATCCAAACTTGGAACAGAAGACTTGCTTTGCACGTAACTCTGAATGCTCTGAAGGTATTCAATAATCCCTTTAACTGCGTGCTTGGCTTCAATCAGGAATTCAACCCGACCTTACTAAGGACTAGGGTAAGTATTCTCCCTCATGACAGCCATGCCTCTTCCTCTTCAGAGCCCCAGTTTTAATGCTGCAACACAAGTATAGTAATCCCATGCGCTGCATTGGGAATTTTCCCCTAACATTGACTTGTTCTGCACCTTTTCTCCATCTTCTCGCCTACCCCAGAACTTCCACCTGAATTGGCATAGAAAAGATGACATGCTGCTCTTCCCACTGATGACAAACAAACAAGGGTAGACAGGTCGCTCAATGCTACATAACTCTTTGTGTAATAATGGGAGAACCACAAGTACTAAGAAAAGATAAAACATGCTGGGTACTTAATATGTGCTTGACATTTTGCATGACAATGTCTTCCAAATTTCACAAGAAACCTATGAGAAGACACATTTTGCAGATAGGAGTCCAGCAGGGTTGAGTGGGATACACAGGATTGTCAAGTCCTTGTACTAGCAGTGAAAGAAAGAGCAGGGAGTTTGACACCTGTGCCTATGGTCTTTATCAGTGCCTTATACCCTGCCTCTCTGAGGTTAGCAAAGAAGAAGCTTTCACTATTTAAGAGAAATGGCATCATATAGGAGTTTAATATTTAAGTGTTTGTTGTTTTTTGTTTGGTTGGTTTTTTTTTTTTTTTTTTAAGACGGAGTCTCACTCTGTCACCCAGGCTGGAGTGCAATGGCGCGATCTCAGCTCACTGCAACCTCTGTCTCCCGGGTTCAAGCGATTCTCCTGCCTCAGCCTCCCAAGTTGTTGGGACTACAGGTGCCTCCCACCATGTCCGGCTAATTTTTATTGTATTTTTAGTAGTAATTTTATTGTATTTTTATGTTGGCCAGGCTGGTCTCAAGCTCCTGACTTCGTGATCCACCTGCCTCAGTCTCCCAAAGCTCTATGACTACAGGTGTGAGCCACCACGCCTGGCTGTGTTTTTTGTTTTAAGCAAATAACGTGTTATGCAAATACAGGTGTTTTTGGATGTGATTGTGTAATCTTTTTTAGTAATTTAAATTCTCTGTCAACCTCATCCCTCTCCTTTGGATAATTTAGTCACCCAGGGAATGTTCCTTTTGAATTTCTTCTTAAAGGTAGAAGAACCGCTGAACAGTAAGAGGAGACTAGAACATTATTGGCTATTGTTAAAGTCCTAGCTCTCCAAGATACAAAATTGTCCTCCTTTGAGCTGTCTCTGCCATTGCTTTTGAAGTGAAGGTGTCACTGGGAGTTTGAGGCATTTACAACTGATATTTCATTCATTACTTTAGTGAAAAGGCAATAATGGAACATCATTTAGGTATTTCCACTTTAATAAATTTATACATTACATATGTGTGTATTTACATGCCTAAAAAACAGGAGAAATCATTAATGTACTTTGTTGCTATACACTGTATGATTCCTTGTGGAATTCCAGGAGCAGAGTGCTCTAACAGCACATTTGAAAGCGTTTTATGAGTTTTTATTCACCTGCTCCAGGAAGAAACTAAAGTTTTCATTATTAGAGTTGCAATAGTTGCTTCTCAAAAGATAAGTACACTATTTTGCTGAGTTGGATCAACAGTGGAAGGTATATAACATCCATCTTGTAACCAACTTTAATTTCGTCAACTTTAGTCAGACTCTTTAATTAATGGCTAGGGAATTGGCTTCATCTTTTAAAAGAATAAAATCTAATTGTGGTTCAAATTAAACAGTCTAATGAAAGTGACCACAAGGCAATTGATCAAAACTAATGGATAAGTAGTTTTGCTTTTGTTAAGTAAACCTCTTGTTTGTTTAACATAAATACCTTAAGGGGCTTAACTCAAGCTATTGATGTATTGGAACCTCTAGAGGAAGTATAGCCAATTATTGTTGAAACTACTTTTAAAAGAGGAATTGAGCTTAAGAAAATGCACATTTTCTCATTTTCCTAGTAAACAACTATTTATAATATTTCTAATACATGCTGAGTGATACATGCTTTACTCAGGATACTAAGAAGATCTACCCTCACCATTGTGGATGGTACCATATGGTTATGAGAGTAGAAATTATGGATTCATAGATAACAACAACATTGAGAAATAGAAGGTGACAACATCTTGTAATATGGGATATAATTCAAAGTTGGAGAGGTGGGAGGAAGAATGGTCTGGAAGCTGCACTGTAGAGCAAGGGATACTTAATTCCCCTCCACATCCAGTCATATCAGGGCTGTAGAAGAAAACCAGAACCTCCACTTCAGAGCAGAGTCAGGCTTGCCTCAATACAAGAGGGGAAAAGAACATGTAGAGACAAGGTGAAGGACTAAGGGGAGTTTGCTGATAATGAGCTATGAATTCAGAGGACACATTGGAAGGGTTGCAGGAGTTGGACAGAGGTGACAGAGAGGAATAGATGGTGGAGATGAGGGTGAGGCTGGGAGTATTTGGGGAGTCAGAGGAAAAGGTTTTAGGGCTCTCTGTTCTCCCCAAATAACTACGGTACAAAGGATTAAGGCGGCAGGGTCTTCGTGTACAGGTTCACTCCCCATTCTCTATGACAGAGGCGGGTTTTGAGCTCAGCAGGCATGCTTGTACCGATCCAGCTGAAGGAGTAGGACTTCAGAGACTCTAGGGATTACACCAAGTGTGAGGTTCCTTCTTCACCTCTGATTGGTTTTGTCTCTAATCCAGTCAATAAAGTGAAACAAGAAGTCTTTCTCTTCTCATCTGACATTGAATTATTTCCATGTTTTTGTGATTTTATTAAATCTAGATCATCAGGTCAGCAGCACACATGATGCATGATAGAAAAGTACACCAAGGCCAAGCGCAGTGGCTCACATGTGTAATCCCAGCACTGTGAGGGGCTGAGGTGGAAGGATCACTTGAGTGAGGTTAGGAGTTCAAGACCAGGCAGTGCCACATGGCAAAACCCCATTTCTACTAAAAATATGAAATTAGCTGGGCATGGTGGTGGGCACCTGTAATCTGAGCTACTTGGCAGGCTGAGGCAGGAGAATTGCTTGAACCCGGGAGAGGGAGGTTGCAGTAAGCCAAGATCACTCCACTGCGCTCCAGCCTGGGCAACAGAGCAAGACTCCATCTCAAAAAAAAAAAAAAAGGCAGCTTTGCCTCTTTAACCTGACATTTGGTTTGTTTTAGAGGTCTTGAGCACTGCTTACATTTCTCTGCAGTGCTTCAGAGTGAATTTCAAAAAAGCATTTATGGCCAAAGGAGTAGTAAAATATCTGGTAAAACAACAGTGACAATGTATTTTTGACAGACAGTCTTCATAAATACCATCTTTCCTAATACTGTGGACTTCTGGGATTAATTGGGCTTTAGATTCTCCATCAAATGCACTTAGAGAACTTTCATCCCATTCTTTGGTGGTGATTGTATTTAACTGATGGTCTTGCTTTAAAAATATATGTATGTGTGCATGCATGTGTATGCATGCATGTACATACACACACATACACACACATATCCGGTCTAAATCTTTCCAGTCATCCTACTAAAATAAAAAATCCCTGTGGTTCTCATGGTGGATCTCGTGTATTCTTTCTAGTTGCAACCCTATTCCTAGGTTTCAATTTTGCAAAGTATCATGCTAAATTTATATTTAGTTCTTTAAATTAGTTACTCTCATTAGATCTATTAGATCCTGTATCCTATGTAGCTTTAAGCTGATTTTAGAGTTTACTGAGCTGCCTACATTGTGTCACAGACCTGAGTATGAAAAACTAATCACGTAGTCCATTAGGTATTAGTGAATTTGTCACAGATTATGATATTTTTGCACATATTTTTCTTGCCCAGTCAAATCTCAGCAAAAAGCATAAATTTAATGCACATAAGCCACTTCCAAGTGACATTCAGAACTTGCTTTGCCAAGCAGCTTCCAATTCACCATATGCCACAGATATTTCTATGCATTAATCCCAATTATATGATAATATCTATTCATATTGTTCACCAAACAGTTATGTGGGAGGAGAAGCCACATTTTGTAACTCAGCCGGTTACGGTGGCTCATGCCTGTAATCCCAGCACTTAGGGAAGCAGAAGGAGGAGGATAGCTTGAGCCCAGGGGTTCGTGACCTGCCAGAGCAACATAGCAAGACCCCATTCTCCACAAAAAGGCAAAACAAACAAACAAACAAACAAAAAAACCTGTAACACTTTGTAATTCAATTGCCTGCAGAGACGACAATACATGAGAAAAAATGAAAACAAAATGTGCAATAACTTTGTAAGTCAGAGAACTCTAATAATTTTATTATGGGAATCATTGCTTTCCAGCAAATTATGTTTCAGTGGTTTTAATTTTCAAGACCTACACTTTGGAAGATCATAAATAATAGTAACAAGAAGTGAGAAACCATCGATTGACTCAGAGATACAGGGAAATTAATATCCAAACCATGGGCTTGTCTTCCCTAATGAGGCACTGTTAGGAAGAACTGTATAGATTTTTTAAAATATACATGCAATAAACACTTTATTTATATATCATTGCATAAAGCTCAGGACAGCAGTAGAAATCAGAAGGGAATGAATTCTTTTCTGGACACCGTGTCAGTCTGTAAATTATGAGACCCCAAAATAAAACCAATGAATCAGCATCACGAGAAATGAAGTGGGTGATTTCCTTAGTCAAGGTGGCAAAATTCTGCAGAAATACTACATGACAAATTGAAACATACATGAAACATACCTGTCAGATCCATTTTAATTTTAAAAAATTTCTGAAAGTGATACTCATTTGTGTCTGGCTGCATATCTGCACCTGAGATGAGTGTGGAGTTTAACGCATATGATCTTTTAGCAATTTGTTCATAAGTTAATTCTCACTTTCCTACCTGCCAGGGCATTATTTTGTTATCTGCTGGAAATCAAGGGCACTTTGGTTACCCTGTACCTCCATGCTCAATATTCTCACATCTACCTACTAGTTTTTTTATATTTTTCTTCCTCTCCCTAATGTACTCACAGCTCTGGTCTTTGAAACCAAATGATTCATTCCTTTTGTGCCACCCAATTAAATATTTTTGCTTCCTTTCCTCTAATATATTTCCTTTTCTGATACATAATTGTCTTATTACCACATGTTGTTTGAATCTTTTATTCTTTTCTTATATATTTTTCTTGTTTATACCAATAATAGACATTGTAGTTTTTAAGTATCTAGAGAGTAATTTGCCTAATTATTGTGAAAGGGGATCTTGAAACAGCTGGATTCTTAATGCATATTCATATTGTTTCAATGATCTTGATGCAGGGAATACCGAGAAGTTTGAGGCTGCGGGAATTTTAGAATGATTTTTGATATAAAAATAGCTGAAGAGGCCAGGCACGGTGGCTCATGCCTGTAATCCCACCACTTTGGGAGGCCAAGGTGGGCGGATCACAAGGTCAGGAGTTCGAGACTGGCCTGGCCAATGTGGTGAAACCGCATCTCTACTAAAAATAGAAAAATTAGCCGGGTGTGGTGGTGGGTGCCTGTAGTCCCAGCTGCTTGGGAGGCTGAGGCAGGAGAATCGTTTGAACCTGGGAGGCGGAGGTTGCAGTGAGCTGAGATCGCGCCACTGCACTCCAGCCTGGGCGACAGACTGAGACTCCATCTCAAAAAAAAAAAAAAACAAAAAACCTGAAGATAGGTAGTTACTTCAAGGATTTACTTTAAGAATAGTTGTTCTATTGCTCCAAAGAGAAATTAATTGCACGTATGGGACAATTGCTACAATTTTTAAATTTTAATTTAATTTAATTTAAAGTTCCGAGATACATGTACAGGATGTGCAGGTTTGTTATATAGGTAAATGTGGGCCATGGTGGTTCGCTGCACCTATCAACCCATCACCTAGGTGTTAAGACCCAGCATGCATTAACTATTTATCCTGATGCTCTCCCTCCCCTCCCTAACCCCCAACAGGCCCCAGTGTGTGTTGTTCCCCTCCCAATATCTATATATTCTCATTGCTCAGCTCCTACTTTTAAGTGAGAACATGCGGTGTTTGGTTTTCTGTTTCTATGTTAGTTTGGTGAGGATAATGGCTTCCAGCTCCATCCATGTCCCTGTAAAGGACATGATCTCGTTCCTTTTTATGGCTGCATAGTATTTCACAGTATATATGTACTACATTTTCTCTATCCAGTCTGTGATTGATGGGCAATTGGGTTGATTCCATGTCTTTGTTATTGAATCACTTTAATTCTATATCAGGTATGATTGTGGCTGCAGTTAACAGAAACTCCAACAAATAGGGGTTTGCAGAAAGAAGGATCTAGCTAATTTTTACAAATAACAAAAAGGTCCAGGGGTTGGCAGTTAAGGCTGCTGCAACTCTTCAACAATGACATCAACTCAAACCCTTTCCATCTTCCTACTCCTTCTGTGAGGATCTTCGTGGTTATGATCATTGCCTCATCACTGAAAGCTCTCCAGCACACTCCTCAGCCAAATTTGAGGAAAAAGGATGAAAGACAAAAGAGGCAAAAGAGCTTTCTTTTTGAGAGACAAAGACTTGGCTACATCATCATCCCCAGCTGAGCGCAGGCTGGGAAAGTGAGTATATTAGCTTTCCAGACTCTTCAATAGAAAAAGGCAATAAAAATGGGGCTTGTTGATGACTTCTGACTAGCTCATTCATAGTTTCCTTCTGTCAGTGGCAGGTCCACCAAAAACTAACGTTTCCCCTATCATTTGTGCACTTGTTGCATGGAAGTTGCTGCCCACATAAAGACAAATTCTTGCGCATGCCCACACTGCTCACTGCTCCAGGAGTGGCTGTATGTCTAGTTTTCACCAATAAAATGTAAGTGGAAGTGATGTGTGTCACATTGTTTGGGGGAATAATGGATTCATTTTTCATATCTGTCTTCTTCAACAGCCAGTGGGATGTAGAGAATTCCCTGACTCTAGTCAGTGGTGGAGCCATGATGAAAGATGTATGGGTTCCTAAATCTCCATGTACAGGAGGGTCATGACTGACCGAAACACCTACAGATGGATATTTTGTGAATAAGAAACAGTCACATAGTGTGTAAAGCCACTGAAAGCTAGGAGATCTGTTCATTTTTTTGTTTGTTTGTTTGTTTGTTTGTTTCTGTTTTTGTTTTTGAGATGGAGTCTTGCTCTGTCACCCAGGCTGGAGTGCACTGGCAAGATCTCGGCTTACTGCAACCTCCACCTCCCAGGCTCAAGTGATTCTCCTGCCTCAGCATTCCAAGTAGCTGGGATTACAAGCATGTACCAACAAGCTCGGCTAACTGGAGCTGTGTTAGTTTTATCTTAATTAATAAACCACAGCCTAGTGATTCCTCAAAGACCTAGAACCAGAAATACCATTTGACCCAGCAATCCCATTACAGGGTATATACCCAAAAGAATATAAATTATTCTATTATAAAGATACATGCACACGTATGTTCATTGCAGTACTTTTCACAATAGCAAAAACATGGAATCAACTCAAATGCCCATCAATGATAGACTGGATAAAGAAAATGAGGTACATATACACCATGGAATACTATGCAGCCCTTAAAAGGAACGAGATCACATACTTTGCAGGGACATGGATAGAGCAGGAAGCCATTATCCTCAGCAAAACTAAGGCAGGAACAGAAAATCAAACACCACAGGTTCTCACTCATAAGTAGGAGCTGAATGATGGAACACACGGACATAGAGAGGGGAACAACACCCATTGAGTTCTGTGAGGGTGAGCGTTGGGGGAGGGAGAGCATCAGGATAAATAGCTAATGCATGTTGGACTTAATACCTAGGTAATGGGTTGATAGGAGCAGCAAATCACCATGTCATACATTTACCTATGTAACAAATCTGCACATCCTGCACATGTACCCTGGAACTTAAAATTTAAAAAAAAAGAAAGAAACCATGCCTGACCAACATGGCAAACCCCAACTCTACTAAAGATTAAAAAAACATTAGCTGGTCATGGTGGCACATGCCTGTAATCCCAGCTACTCGGGAGGCTGAGGCACGAGATTCCCTTGAACCCAGGAGGTGGAGGTTACAGTGAGCCGAGATCACACCACTGCACTCCAGCCTGGATGACAGCGTGAGACCCTGTCTCAATAAACCAACAAATAAACCGCTGCACTCAGAATAAGCCCATATTACATTCTGCTATGGTGTGAATATTTGTCCCTTCCAAAACTCATATTAAAATTTAATTACCAATGTAAGTGTATTGGGAGGTAGGGCCTTTAAGAGGTAATTAGGGAATGAGGGCTCCCTCCTTGTTGGAGGGTTTAGTGGCTTAGTAAAAGGGATTTGGAGAGTGGGTTTTCTCTTTTTTCTCTTCTGTCTGTGATCATGTGATTAAGAAGTGTTCAAGGCTCCATCTTGGAATCAGAATTGCACAACCTGCCAGCACCTTAATATTGAACTTCCCAAACCCAGAACTGTGAGCTAATAAATGTTTGTTCTTTATAAATTACCCAGTCTCAGATATTTTGTTATAGAAGAATAAAATGAACGAAGACACATTTCTTTAATTAATGTGCAATATATAAAGCAGATTTTCATTATTATTATTATACTTGAAGTTCTAGGGTACATGTGCACAACGGGCAGGTTTGTTACATATGTATACATGTGCCATGTTAGTGTGCTGCACCCATTAACTCGTCATCTAGCATTAGGTATACCTCCTAATGCTATCCCTTCCCCCCTCCCCACCCCACAACAGTCCCTGGTGTGTGATGTTCCCCTTCCTGTGTCCAGGTGTTCTCGTTGTTCAATTCCCACCTATGAGTGAGAACATGCAGTGTTTGTTTTTTTGTCCTTGCGATAGTTTGCTGAGAATGATGGTTTCCAGCTTCATCCATGTCCCTACAAAGGACACGAACTCATCCTTTTTTATGGCTGCATAGTATTCCATGGTGTATAAGGGCCACATTTTCTTAATCCAGTCTATCACTGTTGGACATTTGGGTTGGTTCCAAGTCTTTGCTATTGTGAATAGTGCCACAATAAACATACGTGTGCATGTGTCTTTATAGCAGCATGATTTATAATCCTTTAGGTATATACCCAGTAATGGGACGGCTGGGTCAAATGGTATTTCTAGTTCTAGATCCCTGAGGAATCGCCACAGTGACTTCTCCAGTGGTTGAACTAGTTTATGTCCCACCAACAGTGTAAAAGTGTTCCTATTTCTCCACATCCTCTCCAGCACCTGTTGTTTCCTGACTTTTTAATGATCCCCATTCTAACTGGTGTGAGATGGTATCTCATTGTGGTTTTGATTTGCATTTCTCTGATGGACAGTGATGATGAGCATTTTTTCATGTATATTTTGGCTGCATAAATGTCTTTTTTTGAGAAGTGTCTGTTCATATCCTTCGCCCACTTGTTGATGGGGTTGTTTGTTTTTTTCTTGTAAATTTTTTTGAGTTCATTGTAGATTCTGGATATTAGCCCTTTGTCAGATGAGTAGGTTGCAAAAATTTTCTCCCATTCTGTAGGTTGCCTGTTCACTCTGATGGTAGTTTCTTTTGCTGTGCAGAAGCTCTTTAATTTAATTAGATCCCATTTGTCAATTTTGGCTTCTATTGTCATTGCTTTTGGTGTTTCAGACATGAAGTCCTTGCCCATGCCTATGTCCTGAATGGTATTGCCTAGGTTTTCTTCTAGGGTTTTTATGGTTTTAGGTCTAACATGTAAATCTTTAATCCATCTTGAATTAATTTTTGTATAAGGTGTAAGGAAGGGATCCAGTTTCAGCTTTCTACATATGGCTAGCTAGTTTTCCCAGCACCATTTATTAAATAGGGAATCCTTTCCCCATTGCTTGTTTTAGCAGATTTTATAATCCTATTGTCAGTAAGAATTTCTGTTCCCAACCTTATGTTCTTGTAGGAAATATAGAATATGTTGGGGACTGTTCTATTCTTTTTTCATATTCTGTTCCTGTTTCATGTTTATCAAGCCAGATGAAAAATACCCTTTCTTTTTCCTTTTCCCCCGAACAGCAGAAACTTAAATGACAATTTGAGTCTGTACATTTACACATGGTTATCCTTAATGCTCCTATAGTATTCCTCAAAGGGTGGCTACTATGTCCATTTTTTCGTGGTTAACATAGGTCTTCTAAGGTGATTATACATATTGCTTTTGCTAGAGCCATGTTATTTTTCACCTTTTGGTTCAAATATACAGAAAAATATACCAAATCTGCATTTTACCTCTTACTAAAAACAATATAGCTTGTAGGTGATGATAGATTCTAAGGAGAGAAGTTGGTGAAAAACATAAATATTACGTACCTCAGCAAAGATTTATCTATGAATCTGTGTCATACTTGACAACAGGACAGGAGTCATGGGATAAAGCAAAAACTAAAGCTTTAGGAGTTCAAAAAAAAAAAAAAAAAAAAAACAAACAAAACAAAAAACAAAACACCAACCCTGGACTGAAAAAGCAATGATCAAAAGGACCTCACTGTATTTGAAAGAACAGTATATGAATTTCTGGATTAGCATAAGAATGCATTTTGTGTGCCTTATTTATTAACACTCAGGCACCAATTAACAATCTGCAAAATGATGGTCCAGAGGATTACAAACAAAAACAAAACATACCGTTAACTGAAGTTAAAAATAAAAAATTCTAAAAACAAAAAAGTAGTGTGCCATAGAAAGAAAAGACGTCATGAGACGACTGTAAACAATTATATGCCAACAAACTGGATGACCCAGAAGAAATGGATAAATTCCTAGAATCATAAAACTTACCAAAATTGCATTATGAAGAAATAGAAAATCTGAACAGACTTGTAACTAGTAAAGAGATTCAATTAGTAATCAAAAACTTCTCAACGACAACAACAACAAAAAGCCCAGGACCAGATGGCTTCACTGGTAAACTCTAACAAACATTTAAAGGAGGATTAATGCCAGTTCTTCACAAACTCTTTCAAAAAATTGAAGAGAAAGGAACACTTCTAAACTTATTTTATGAGGCCAGCATTATTCTGACACTTAAGCTACACAAAGATACTATAAGAAAAGAGACCCATGGGTCTATATCTCTAATGAACATGCATACAAAAATCTTCAACAAAATACTAAAAAACTGAATTCAACAGAACATTAAGAGTTACAAAATAAGATCAAGTGGGATTTAACCATGGGATAGAAAGATGGTTCTGCATATAAAAATTAATTAATGATATTCACCACATTAACAGTGCAGCACATTAACAGAAGAAAAGATAAAAATTCTATTATCACCTCAGTAGATGCAGAAAAGACACTTGATAAGATTTAATACCCTTTAATAGTAGTAACTATTAACAAGCTAGGAATATAAGGAATAACCTCAACATAATAAAGGCCATATAAGAAAAGCCCACAGCTATCACTATGCTCAATAGTGAAAAACTGAAAGCTTTTCCTCTAAAATCAGGAACAAGTCAAGGATGTCTACTTCAGCCACTTCTATTCAGCATAGTGCTGAAAGTTCTATCCAGAGCATTTAGGCAAGAAAAAGAAATGGAAGACATTCAAGTCAGAAAAGAAATGACAAAAATAAGCAATAGAGAAAGACTTCCTATTCAATAAATGGTGCTGGGATAACTGGCTAACCACATGCAGAAGAATGAAGCTGGACCCTGTCCTTACACCATATGCAAAAACAGATTAAAGACTAAATAGAATCAAGACGGATTAAAGACTTAAATGTAAAACCCAAAACTGAAAACCCTGGAAGATAACCTAAGCAATATCACCTGAAACATAGGAATGGACAAAGATTTCATGACAAGACACCAGAAGCAATCGCCACAAAAGTAAAAACTGACAAATTGTATCTAATTAAATTAAGAGCTTCTGCGCAGCATAAACAAACAAAAAACAAAACAAAACAAAACAAAAAAACTATCAACCGAGTAAATAGACAACCTACAGAATGGGAGAAAATATTTGCAAACTATGCATCTGACAAAGGCCTAATATCCAGCATCTATAAGAAACTTAAACAAACGTACAAGAGAAAAGCAAACCCATTAAAAAGTGGGCAAAGGGCATGAACAGACGTTTTTCAAAAGAAGACATAAATGAGGCCAACAAGTGTATGAAAAAAAGCTCAATATCACTAATCATTAGGGTAATGCAAATCAAAACCACAAGGAGACATCATCTCCCAACAGTCAGAATGGTTATTATGCAAAACTCAAAAAGTAACAGATGCTAGCAAGATTGTGGAGAGAATGGAACACTTATACACTGTTGATGGGAGTGTAAATTGGTTCACCCATTGTGGAAAGCAGTATGGCAATTCCTCAAAGAGCTAAAAGTAGAACTACCATTCAACCCAACAATCCCATAGTACTGAGTATATACTCAGAGGAATATAAATCATTCTATCATAAAGACATGTGTATACGTATATTCATTTCAGCACTATTCATAATAGCAAAGACATGGAATCAACCTGAATGCCCATCAGTGACAGATTAGATAAAGAAAATGTGGTACATATACAACATGGAATACTTTGAAGCCATAAAAAAGAATGGGATTGGCCAGGCGTGGTGGCTCACGCCTGTAATCTCAGCACTTTGGAAGGCTGAGGCGGGCAGATCACAAGGTCAGGAGATTGAGACCATCCTGGCAAACACAGTGAAACCCCGTCTCTACTAAAAATACAAAAAAATTAGCCTGGCGTGGTGGCGGGCGTCTGTAGTCCCAGCAACTAGGGAGGCTGAGGCAGGAGAATGGCGTGAACCTGAGAAGCGGAGCTTTCAGTGAGCCGAGATTGCGCCACTGCATTCCAGCCTGGGCAACAGAGCGAGACTCCGTCTCAAAAAAAAAAAAAAAAAAAAAAAAAAAAAAGAATGGGAAACATGGTTGGAGCTGGAAGCCATTATCTTCAGCAAACTAATGTAGGAACAGAAAACCCAATACCATATATTCTCACTTACAAGTGGGAGCTAAATGATGAGAACTCATGAATACAAAGAAGGAGACAACAGACACGGAAGTCTACTTGAGGGTGGAGGTTGGGAGGAGGGAGAGGAGCAAAAAGAATAATGATTGGGTGCTAAACTTAATACCTGGATGACAAAATAATCTGTACAACAAACCCCCGTGACACAAGTTTACCTAAATAACAAACCTTCACACGTTCCCCTGAACCTAAAATAAAAGTTAAAAAGTATAAAGAACTTATTCCAGTGGCAAAAAAAAGTGAAATTATCCTGGCTTGCAATGACATTATCTTATACACAGAAAATTCTAGCTCCGCAAAGAAACTGTTAGAACTAATAAGCAGACTGAGTAAAGTTGAAGGATACAGTATCAATGTACAAAAATCAGTTATTTTTCTGTCCACTAACAATAAACTATCTGATAAGGAACTTAAGAAAACAATTCCATTTACAAAAAAAAAGATACTTAAAATAGGCAAGCTATGGATTGCGTGAAAATAATACAACCATATATCTAATAAGAGGGTAATATTGAAAATATATGAGGAACTCCTACAACTCAATAGCAAAGAAAACACAAATAACCTGATTTTAAAATGGACAAAAGACTTGAATAAACATTTCTCCAGACAAGACATACAAATGGCCAATTGGTATGTGACAAGATACTCAACATCATTAATTATCAGATAGTCTCACACCTACTAGGATGGCTATTATTTTAAAAAAACCACCAGAGAAAAATGTTAGCGAGAATGTGAAGAAATTGGAACTTTTGTATACTGTTGGTGGGAAGGTAAAAAGGTGCAGCCACTATAGAAAACAGTACGGAGGTTTCCAGAAATATTAAAAATAATATTACCCTGTGATCCAGCAATCCCACTTCTGGGTATATAGGCAGAAGAATTGAATTCAGGAACTTTTCTTTTTGTATGTTATATGAATCGTATACTGTATTCTAATGATAAAGCTAGAGAAAAGAAAATGTTTTTAAAAATTATAAGGAAGACAAAATATATTTACTTTATTCATTAAGCAGAAGTAGATAATCATAAAAGTCCTCATTGTCTTCATGTTGAGAAGGCTGAGGAAGAGCAGAAGGAGGAGGTGGGGTTGGTCTTGTCTCAAGGGTGAGAGATATAAAAGAAAATCCACATGTGAGTGGACCTGCACAGTTTAGACCTGTGCAGTTCAAGGGTCGACTGTATTATTTTGTCTGATTATTTCATTAATATTGCTCTCTGTATTTAGACTATAAGCTCCATGAATGCAGTGCCTATGTATGTTTTCTACTTCTCTCTACCCCTGATGCCTTTTTCTGAAGCTGTTATATGATAAAGATTCAATGTCTATTGAAGGAATTAACACATCCTAATTTCTGTTCATTGTTTCACTAACTGCCTACTTCTATAACTCAGAACCTCTTGCCCTAGTTTTTGATGTATTAGCTTAATTAATGTCTTTGTAAAAGAATGTTAAGTTAGAAGTTTTATCTGAGTTGCAATTATAATGGACACCAGGTTCACATACACAATCAAGATGCAAACTTTCAGAGGAAATGATAAGAACAAGTGTCTAATTCTTAGACACACCAGACACAGCCTCCACCTTCCTGCCCATATCAAGGATACAAGGGTCAAGAGAACAGAGATGAAGAGCATATTTGTGATGAGAATCTTTTTGGGGATAATGGTTCCATGGGTATTCCCTCTTGACCTCCACCTAACTTCAAGAGAGTGGTCACATGGGAATAATCAATGGGCCTGAATTCAGTATCTTGAAGAGATATTAGCACATCTGTGTTTATTTCAACACTATTCACAGTAGCCAAGATGAGGAAACAACTTAAATATCAATGAATATATGAATACTGAACAACCAATGGATAAAGAAAATGTGGTATATACATAAAATGGAATATTATTCAGCCTTTAAAAAGAAGGAAATCCTGCTAGAAGTGACAAGACAGATGAACCTCAAGGACATTATGCCAAGTGAAATAAGCCTGTCACAGAAGGACAAATACTGCATTAACCCACTTACATGAGTTACCTAAAATAACCAAACTCATAGAAACAGAGAGTAGAATACTCAGGATACAAAATCAATGTACTTGAATCAGTAGCACTGCTATACACCAACAACGACCAAGCTGAGAATCAAATCAACAACTCAATCCCTTTAACAATAGCTGCAAAAAAATAAGATAATTTAGCAATATACTTAACCAAGGAGGTAAAAGACCACTACAAGGAAAACTATAAAACACTGCTGAAAGAAATCATAGATGACACAAACATCCCAAGGTCATGGATTGGTAGAATCAATATTATGTAAATGACCATACTGCCAAAAGCAATATACAGATTTAATAAATTTCCATCAAAATACCACCACCATTCTTCACAGAACTGGAAAAAAATCCTAAAATTCATGTGGAACCAAAAAAGAGCCTGCATAGCCAAATCAACATTAAGCAAAAAGAACAAACCAGGAGGCATCACATTACCCGACTTCAAACTATGCTACAAGGCTATAGTTACCAAAACAGCACGTTACTGGTATAAAAATAGGCACATAGACCAATGGAACAGAATAGAGAACCCAGAAATAAACCCATATACTTACAACCAACTGATCTTTGACAAATCATACAAAAACATAAAGTGGGAAAAGGAAACCCTATGCAACAAATGGTGCTGCGATAATTGGCAAACCACATGTAGAAGAATGAAACTGGATTCTCATCTCTCACTTTACACAAAAATCAACTAAAGATGGATCAAAGACTTAAATCTAAGACGTGAAACTATAAAAATTCTAGAAGGAAACATCAGAAAAACTCTTCTAGACATTGGCTTAGGCAAAGAATTCATCACCAAGAACCCAAAAGCAAATGCAACAAAAACAAAGATAAGTAGATGGGACATAATTAAACTAAAAAGCTTCTGCACAGCAAAATTAATAATCAGCAGAATAAACAGACAACCCACAGAGTGGGAGAAAATCTTTGCAAACTATGCATCTGACGAAGGACTAATATCCAGAATCTACAAGGAACTCAAACAAATCAGCAAGAAAAAAAATAGTAATACCATCAAAAAGTGGGCTAAGGATATGAATAGACAATTCTCAACAGAAGATACATAAGCAGTCAATAAACACATAAAAAATGCTCAACATCACTAATTATCAGGGAAATGCAAACTAAAACCACAATGAGATACCACTTACTCCTGCAGGAATGGCCATAATTTAGAAAAGCAAAACAAAAATAATAGATGTTTGCATGGATGTGGTGAAAAGGAAACACTTTCATACTGCTAGTGGGAATGTAAACTAATATAACCACTATGGAAAACAGGATGGAGATGCCTTAAGGAACTAAAAGTTGAACTACCATTTGATCCAGCAATACCACTACTGGGTATCTACCCAGAGGAAAAGAAGTTATTATATGAAAAAGACACTCGCATGCACATGTTTATAATAGCACAATTCACAATTGCAAAGACATGGAACCAGCCTAAATGCCCATCAACCAATGAGTGAATAAAGAAGATGTGGTATATGAGAACACTTGGACACAGGGTGGGGAACATCACACACTGAGGCCTGTCATGGGGTGGGGAGAGGAGGGAGGGATAGCATTAGGAGATATACCTAATGTAAATGATGAGTTGATGGGTGCAGCACACCAGCATGGCACATGTATACATATGTAACAAACCTGCACGTTGGGCACATGTACCCTAGAACTTAAAAGTATAATTTTAACAAAAGCAAAAAAAAAAAAAAAAAGAAGATATGGTATCTAGGTGATGGGTTGATAGGTGCAACAAACCACCATGGCGCATGTTTGCCTATGTAACTAAGCTGCACATCCTGCACATATATGCTGAAACTTCAAATTTAAAAAATATTGGTATATACACACCATGTAATACTACACAGCCATAAAGGGGAATGAAATAATGGCATTTGCACCAACTTGATGGAGTTTGAGACAATTATGCTAAGTGAAGTAATTCAGGAAGGGAAAACCAAGTATCACATGTTCTCACTTGTAAGTGGCAGCTAAGCTATGAGGATACAAGGGCCGAAGAATGATATAACAGACTTTGGGGATTCTATGGGGAATGGTGGGAGGTGGTGAGGGATAAAAGACCACACATTGGGTACAGTGTACACTGCTTGGATGACAGGTGCACCAAAATCTCGGAAATCACCGCTAAAGAACTTATCCATGTAACCAAAAACCATCTATTCTCCAAAAGCTATTGAAATAAAAATTGTTTTAAAAAAGAACATTAGTTTCCAGAAGCGAGGAGAGAGATGAAAATGAAGAGTTGTTGATCAAGGGATATGAAGCCTCAGTTATAGAAGATGAATACATTCTAGATGTCAGCTGTGCCAGATTGCACCTATAGTTAACAATACTGTACTATGCATTTAAAAACTTCTTAATGCCGATGCAGTGGCTCATGCCTGTAATCCCAGAGCTCTGAGAGGCTGAGGCAGGAGGATCACTTGAGCCCAGAAGTTCAAGATCAGCCTGGGCAACATAGTGAGACCAGGTGTGTATAAAAAATACAAAAGGTAGCTGGGCATGGTGGCATACACCCGTGGTTCCAGCTACTCAGAAGGCTGAGTTGGGAGGACTGCTGGAGCCCAGAAGTGCAAGGATGCAGTGAGCTATGATTGTACCACTGCACTCCAGCCTGGGTGACAGAGTGAGACCCTGTCTCCAAAACCAAAAACCAAAAACCAAAAAACTTCTTTAAAGGGTAAATCTCATATTAAATGTTCTTATCATAATAAAATAATTAAATTAATTGGTAAACAAAAAAAAGTGCCAAACAACTTCAAAACTGTAATTTGATGTTACTGGTAAACTGATTAAATCAGAAGAGATTTGAAATGGGGAGAGAAGAAATTAGTGGGAGAGAAAAATAGAGTTCATCGTAACTATTATTTCACTTTTGCATTTGTTTTTAGGAGAAAAACATGTTTATGGAAAGCTACAAGTGAAAATAAAATTTAAAATGTTTGAAAACAAGCATGGTTTACATAGAAAATAAAAGAAACAAAGTTCAAAAATAAAAGTTGTAATAAATGAATATAAACTTAGACAAATCAATTGTGATAATGAAGCCAAATAGGCTGGTCTTCCTCTCATGAAAGATATGGTCCTTTAAGAACAAAAGCCAATGAAGAGAGCTTATCATGTTCACCTAACAAAAGAGAAAGGTTAAATATTAAAGATACATCAGACACATTCAAATGAATAAACAAAAGGAAAATCAACAATATAAATTCTAGGGACAAAGTTTAAGACAAAAAGCATTAAATAAATAAAAGCCACTTGATACTTAAGGGTAAAATTTCTAATAAAGGTATAGAATTAGCAGCCTTTATACAAAATAAGATAAAATAAAGTACAAAAAGCAAAAATATAAAATATGTGAAGAAATTAATTTAGGGTCATGGAAAACTGTTTTAGGGCTATTTATTCAGTAGACTAAGGAGATGCAAAATAAATAAGTATAGAGAGAATGAGAATATAGTATAATTACATTAGAGGTATATATGCTTATGTATGTATACCCTTTATGTGTGCGTTTGTATACAGGTGTGCATGTATGTATGTGTGTATCTTCTACAATCCAATCTAAGATTGCATCTTCATTTTAAGTGTCCATGAAACATTAGCAAAAATTTGAGCACATTTATGTCAGTAATTTTCCAACTGTTTCTTTAGTGGAAATTTTATCAGGAACAATAAAAGTAGAGTTTTTCTGGTGGAAGAATGATTTGAAATTCTCAAAGCATTCACTTAGCCTTGCATTTTTTACTTGAGACGGCTTTCGAATCACATTTTAAAAATTGAAATTAAAAATTAAAAATCAAAATTCTAAAAATTAAAATCCCTCTACTAGGTCATGATGATTCGTCTTTATAATTTACCTGAGCATAATGTAAAACATACATAAATAATTTTAAATTAAAATAGAATTGTTATGTTAAAGAAGAAATAAGGAATCAAAAATGAAATTTCAATCTATTTAAGAAGTAAAGAAAATGAGTATATATAACAAATTGAAATTCATGAGAGACTTCTTCTTTTAGCTATGATATAGAAAATGGTGTCAAATTATGCCTGCTGCTATAAACAACCAGAAAAATCAGACAAAATAGATGTTACAATGATTTTCAGACACTGAACAACAGAAAGTGTAAGACGATAATCCCTGCCACAACTTGAGCCCAAGATAAACCAACTCTCTGGGAACAGTTTCCAGATTATGGCACAGTGATCTGACATCCAAGCACAAAACAGCTCTCCTGCTACACAGAGGAGGGAGACATCAGCTTTCAAGGTGGCTTCAGTGGCTGGAGGTTGCAAGACATGAGGCACAGAGAAATACATGTGAGGAAAAATAAATCAGGCAGAAATCTGTGTCGAATTTCCCCCAAAGTTTTTGGTGATGGCTGGGCTGCAAATGTACAAGACCTGACTATGGCCAGGTGCAGTGGCTCACGTCTATAAACCCAGCACTTTGGGAGGCCGAGGTAGCTGAATCACCTGAAGTCAGGTGATCGAGACCAGCTCGGCCAACATTGCAAAACCCAGTCTCTACTAAAAATACAAAAATAAGCCAGGCATGGTGGTGGGGACTTGTAATTCCAGCTACTTGGGAGGCTGAGGCAAGAGAATCGCTTGAACTCAGGAGGTGGAGGTTGCACTGAGACAAGACTGCACCACTGCACTCCAGCCTGGGTGACAAGAACAAAACTCCATCTCAAAAAAAAAAAAAAAAAAAAAAAAAGGAAAAGAGAAAGAAACCTGACTACTTGAGGCCTACCAGAAAGTTACTAATATAAGTTTGTGAGTGGAACAGGATATTAGAATTTGAGCAGTGCTAGAGGATGTTAGAGTACTAGCCCAATCTGATGGAATAAACTTATTGACAGCTTGGATGTAAGAGGAAATCTTATATGGATAAAAATGAAAATACAACACATTAAAATATGTGGGATGCAGCTAAAGTAGCACTTGGAGGGAAATTAATAGCATTAAATGCTTATATTAGAAAAGAACATCTTAAATTAATCATTTTAGCTTCAATCTTGAGCAATTATAAAAAAAGAAGACCAAAATAAACTCAAAGGAAGCAGAAGGAAGAAATAGTAAAGATAACAGAAAGCAATGGAATTGAAAGCAGGAAAGCAATTGAGAAAGCAACTTAACCAAAAGCTGATTTTTGAAAAGATGAATACAATTGATAAACCTCTAGCAAAATTGACAGAGAAAGACAAAAACGACTAATATCTGGAATGAAATAGGAAATCACTACAGACTCATTCAAACTAAAAGGATAATACAGGAATTGTCTAAACCAACTTTATGCACATAAATTTGACAAATTGGATGAAATCAATCAATTCCTTAAGAATTACAAATAACTAAAACTCACCGAAGGTAAGAGATAATTTGAATAATCTTAGAGCTATGTTAAAAATTAAAAAAACAAAACCTCCTGAAAAAGAGATCTTCAAGCCCAGATGGTTTCACTGGTAAATTCTATCCAACATTTATAAAAGAATTAACATCAATTCTACACAATCTCTTCCAGAAAATAGATTAGGGAACAATACCAAACTCACTTTATGGTAACAACATTACCTTGATTTAATACAACAAGAACAAACACAAAACTGATGGAGTACAGAAAGAAAACTACAAATCAATGTCCCTCATAAACATAGATGCAAAAATCTCAACAAAATATTAGCAAATCAACTATAGCATAAAAAGAATACTATACCATGCCTGAGTGAGTGGAGTTTATCATAGAAATGCAAGACAAGTTCCATATTTGAAAATCAACTAATGTTTTCGCCACACTGGCAAGCAAAAGAACAAAGCCCCATGATCATGGGAATTGATACAGCAAAAGCGATTGACAAAATTCAAAATCCATTTATAATAACTTTTGGCAAACCAGACCTAGGAAAATTGTTTAACTTGGCAAAGGACATCTACAAAAATCCTACTGCTAACATCATTCTAAATTGTGAAAGACTGAAAACTTTTCCTTCTAAGGTCGGAAACAAAGCAAGGATGTTCACTCTCACCATTCATATTCAAAATTGTACTGGAAATTCTAGCCAGTGAACAAGGCAAGTAAAACAAATAAAAGGCATACAGATTGGGAAGGAAGAAATAAAACGTTCCTAATCCCAGGTAATATGATCATCAGTGTAGAAAAATAGGAATCTAGGAACCTAGAAAATACTCCTAGAACTAATGTGTTTAGCAAGGCAGGATACAAGGTTAACACACCAAAAGCTGTTGTATTTGGGTAGTTTAACAATTAGAAGTTGGAAACCAATTAGAAAAAACAAAACAAAACATAAAGTCAGGAACTATGTAGTTTGGCATTTTTTAATAGCCAAATGTCCTTTTACCATATGACCCAGCAATTGTATTCCTTGTTATTTACTCATAAATAAAAACATATGTCCACACAAATCTTGTGCATAAATTTTTACAGTGCCTCATTCATAATTATCAAAATCTGAAATGGCACAAATGGGTAAACAAATGGTAATACATCTATGCAATGGAAAACTACTCAATAATAAAAACAGAAATGAATTACTTATACATGCAACAACATGGATGAATTTCAAACACATTATGCTAAGTGAAAAATCTAGACTCAAGGAGTTACCTATGATATGATTCCAGTTATAAGACAATCTGAAAAGAAAACTCCATAGAAACAGGGAACATATTAGTGGTTTCTGGTTGCTGGGGTTAGGGTAGAGGACTGATTACCAAAGAAAATGAGGAACATTTTTGAAATACTACAGATATTCTATATCTTATTTACTTAATTGATAGTACATGCTTGACCAAACTCATTGAACTATGCACATGAAAAGCATCAATTTTAATGTATGTAAATCATAACTTAATAAAACTATTTAAAAACACATATTGTAAAAAGCAAAAATTCTTAACAAATTAGAGATGGAAGGAAATATTTTTAATTTGGTAACGTGATTCTATAAAAACCTGCAGCTAATGTCAGACTTATGGTGATAGACTGAATACTTTCTCCCTAAATTTAGGAAGAATTTGGAAATCTATCTGTAGACAAAGATTTTTGTATTAGATACAAAAAGCACAAATCAAAAAAATAAACCTATACATTGATAATTGATAAAATATCAAAAAAAGTTCAACTTTTGCTCATCAAAAGATGCCATTAAGAAAATGGACCCTAAAGCTACGGATTGGAAGATAGTATTCTCAATTGGGTATATACCCAAAGGACTATAAATCATGCTGCTATAAAGACACATGCACACGTATGTTTATTGCGGCACTACTCACAATAGCAAAGACTTGGAACCAACCCAAATGTCCAACAACGATAGACTGGATTAAGAAAATGTGGCACATATACACCATGGAATACTATGCAGCCATAAAAAAGGATGAGTTCATGTACTTTGTAGGGACATGGATGAAATTGGAAATCATCATTCTCAGTAAACTATCGCAAGAACAAAAAACCAAACACCACATATTCTCACTCATAGGTGGGAATTGAACATTGAGAGCACATGGACACAGGAAGGGGAACATCACACTCTGGGGACTGTTGTGGGGTGGGGGGAGTGGGGAGGGAGAGCATTGGGAGATATACCTAATGCTAGATGACGAGTTAGTGGGTGCAGCGCACCAGCATGTCACATGTATACATATGTAACTAACCTGCACATTGTGCACATGTACCCTAAAACTTAAAGTATAATAATAAAAAAAATAAAAAAAATAAAAAAAATACATCTTTCTGGCAAAGATATTGTATCCAGGATATATACACACATTCTGTAACTCAATATTAAAAAGACAATCAATTTTTAATGACAAATTTTATAAGATATGCTGCATAGAAAGATATACAAATAGCCATTAAGCAGAAGAAAAAGCACTCAAGATGATTACGCATTAGGAAAATGTGTTACAACCAAAATGAGATATCACTCCTCACTCACTAGAATGACTAAACTGGAGACAACCCAAGTGTCCACCAACAGAAAGAGAAATAAAAAGATTTTGGTATTCATGTAATAGAATGCAATCTGGCAGTAAAAATGAATGACCAATTCATATATGGAACCACACAGATGCATCTTAAAAACATTATGCAGACTCAAAAAAGCAAAATAATTCATACTGTATAATTCCACTGGTATGAAGTTGTAGAAGACGCAAACCTAATCCAAGATTATAAAAATAAGAAAGCTGGTTGCTTAGAGGTGGAGGATTTAGGAAAGAGGCATGACAAAACTTTCTGGGATGATGAGAATATTCCTTGTCTTGAAAGTAGGAGGGGTTATACAAGTTCATACATTATACACAAGTTTTGTACATTTCACAATATACGATTTAACCTTTATCATGGTCTGGATGAAAACTACAGTGAGAAATATCTCTAACCCAATTAGACGAACAAAAATCAGAAAACTTGACAATGTACTTGTTAGTCAAGGCTGTGGAAGATAGATACAGTGGTGCTAAGAATATAAATGCAAATTAGTTTAAATCCCTTTGGTGGAAAACTTGACAATATCTGAATCACAGCCACACGTTTACCCTTTGATGCAATCTACTCACCTCTTGGGTTCTATTCCAAAGATATTCTTGCAAAAATGCAAAATGACTGAAAAGTAAGGTCATTCATTATGTACTATTTTAAATAGTAAAAAATGAAAGTAGCTTAAAGCTCCACTCATAGAAGGCAGATTTATAAGCATTTGTAAATCATAATGGATTTAGGTAGGACATACCATGAGAACTCCTTCTAGCCTCTCCTAAAAAGAATAGGGAGACATTAACTTGAATGACAGTACAAAGGGAAGGGAAATAACCAAGCTTTAGTGGCAAGTAGGAAGAGATTAGTGAATGCTTCCAATAATCCAGCAAGCGGCATATGATAATGATAATTCATGATATAACTTCAAAAAATCTTTGAAATGTTTCCAAATTATATTTAAAAATTGTATGTATTTAAATGTTTTCATTATTAAAATGAATGAATTAAAAGGGCAATTCAAGATCTGGAAAAGAAGGCAACAGGTACCATTATATTATGAGAAAATAAATAATAAACGTAATGGCAGAACTAGAGAAAAACAGCCATTTTGATAAATTAATGTAGGTGCTACGTCTTTTTAGCAGATGGAGATACATTTATAGCAATTCCAAAAGGGAGCAAATGCAAACAAATTAAGATAATAAACAGAGAAATTTTAAATCATAAGACAATAACATTCATGAGAGTGGTTGATACATTTGAAAATATTGATAAACTGGTTGGTTTTCTAGAAAAAATAAGATAACCAAAATTTTATTCAAGAAATGGAAAACTTAGAAGAGATTTTAAAATTTTTCAGAGAATTTTTCAAAGAATTGCATTTTTAAAAAATGCATTCTTCCCACTTAGTGTAATAAATGATTTCTTTCTATTTAAACTTGTAGTTTTAAGAAACAGAATGTGAAGAATAAGATGGAGCTATTCATAACTCAACCAAGCACAGAAAAGAAACTATACTAATCTCGTTTATGAGTGTGGCTGTTAAAATCCTAAATAACACAAGAAGCTGAAATCCAACTATATTGTATATTAAAGAATAATCCAACATGATAAAATAGGGTTTATCCAGAATTTCAAGTATAACCTTTTTCTTGAGTTCTCTATTTTCTCCCCTGTTCCCCAAAATATCCCTGTGGAATGTATAGGTGGTAAGAATACTAGGACTCAAAAAAAACTAAGCAGGTCTTCCTAGACCATGAATTCTGGTAAAAGGGACTGAAATTGTAATGGATTGGGATAGAAGATGTTTGGTGCTGGTCAGCCTAGAGGCAGACTTCAAACAAGGAACATGGTGGGGATGAATTGCTCAACAGCCAACAGAACAAGTACAGTCATATTTTTTAGAATTGTCTAAAAGGTAGATGTCTCTGGTTATGTATAAATAATCACAGAGTCCATAAAATAAAATAAACAACTCAGTAGGGAGTTACTTGTTATGTGATACAAACATTTCTCTAAGTTGTTTTATCAGGGGCCTGATTCAGACCACTTATCTAGTCATGACACATTAGCCTCTTTCCAGACCTGGTTTACTTTACAAATGCAGAGCCTTTTGAAAAGTGGAAGGCTCACTATGCCTCATGAAAGATGATGGTATGTCATATAAAAGTATACCATGAAAATTCCTCCTAGCCTTTTCTAAAGGATGTGGAGCCATTAACCTTCATGCTAGTACCTGAAGAAGGGAAATAATCAAATTTTAATGATGAATGAGGAGAGACTGGTGGCTGTTTATACTAATTTAACAAACACTATTTTCTTTAGATTAGTAAATCCTTGACAACCAACTTACTGACAGTGCACCATCATAATAGGAATAAGTTTCAGGCAATAAATTAAGCTTTTACTAAGACTGTTTTTAGAGGACCTAATACATCCAAACTTATATTAATGAATATTTTCCAAGTTCTTGAATAGATAGAATAGATGTCCCGAACTGAAGGAAACCTCCCATTGTTTCCCTGACTCACAGAATAAGAGATATGCTACAAAGAATAGTGGATCTATACTCACCAGTAAAAATGGTGGATCAAAATCAACATAATCTATATTTCTACTTCTAAATAGGGTGTGGCATATTTCAGCAAGCCAACACTAAGCAACAACTAGAAAAAATGATGGATACATTTTACAAAGTAATATTTGTAGGGATACCAGAAAGGTCAAAAGAACTGGTTCCACAGAGAAAGAACCCTTCTTGTTTGGGCTAATAATTGCTAGCTGCTATGGTTTGGATGCGGTTTGTTCCCACCAAAACTCATGTTGAAATATGATTCCAAATTGTCAGTTTCAGTGTGAATGTTGAGAAGTGGGAACTCGTGGGAGGTGTTTGGGTCACATGGGCAGATCCTTCGTAAATAGACTAATGCCTTCTTCTAAGGGTGAGTTCTCACTCTTGCACAACTGGGTTACTTACCATGAAGTGGGTTGTTCCTTCTTATATTTAGTTTTTTTACACATTCCCACTCCCTCCCTTCTGGTTTCTACCATGAGTTGAAGCAGTACGTGACCGTCATCAGATAGGCTACCTGATTTTGCAGTTCCCTGCCTCTAGAATCATGAAACAAATAAACTTATCTCGTTATAAATTACTCAGTCTCAGGTATTCTGTTACTGCAACACAGAACCCATTAGATCACTAACCATTTACTTCCCTGAGGCCATTCACTTGCTCTAAGGGCAGGTGCAAATTCATTTGCCTAGGGAAAGACGCCCTAGTAGGGGAAAGAGAAACCAGTCGAGTTTTTGACAGATGTGATAGATTAGAAATGATGATTCCCAAACACTTGGTTTGTACCAGGAGACGTTAGTTAAGTTCTGGAATTGTGCAATACACTGAAGAGAAGCCAAGTAATTTATAGATGGCAGACTAAAATCTCCTGCAGTGCATAAGAAATACATCTTGCTAGAGATAGGAAGTTTGACATAAATACAGGGTGAGTTTCTCCTTAAGACATATGGTAGATTTTTGAAGCTGTCTAGAGTAGGAGCTAAAGAGCTAAGCTCAAAATCTCTAAATAATAGAACTGAGTCTTGTTTAATTTTTTAGGGCTAAGAAGAAGAGACTAACCAAAATCTCAATCAAATGCCAACGTGGACTAGACCTGAAGAAAAGGGATGAACCAGAGTTAAACTAAGTTTCACTAAATACAGCAGAAGACAGGATGATTGAACCTGAAGATAGGTTAATTAAAAATATCTAAAACACAAAGGGAAAAAATATAGAAAAAACATAACAGATTTAAAAATATATTGGAGAGTAGATAAAGCATAAGACAGAAGCAATACTAGAAGAGATAATTGTTTTTTAAAATTTCAAAACTCTGTAATCCCAGCACTTTGGGAGGCCGAGGTGGGCGGATCACGATGTCAAGAGAGTGAGACCATCCTGGCCAACATGGTGAAACCCCGCCTCTACTAAAAATACAAAAATTAGCTGGGCATGGTAGCACACACCTATAGTTCCAGCTACTTGGGAGGCTGAGGCAGGAGAATCACTTGAACCCGGGAGGCGGAGGTTGCAGTGCGCTGAGATGGCACCACTGCACTCCAGCCTGGCGACAGAACTAGACTCTGCCTCAAAAAAAAAAATTCAAAACTAATGAAAGATGTCTACACAAATCCAAAAAGCTCAAAGAAACTCAAGAAGGATCAATTTAAAAAAAAAAAAACCCACACAAAATTTAAACTGCTTAAAACCAAAGAGTATTTTATAATGCTTAAAGTTTTCCATTTTGTTTCCTCTGTTCTGTGCTTACTTTTGTATTTTTTAGTGGTTACACTAGAGATTATAACATGCATTCTTATGTTGTCATAGTGTACTTTGAATTAATGTTATCTAAATTAACAAGGCGATAATTTTATAACTATATATTTCATTTTATCTTCCACCAACCCTTTATAGTACTGTTAACACATATTTTATTTCTGCCTATATTTAAAACTCTGTAATATATTGGCTTTATATTTGCCAATTTACTTTTAAAAATAGGGAAAAAAGGCTTCTCATATCCACCTACATATATTTTTATTACTCTTTTTTCTTTCTTGATATCTTAGTTTCCATTTTCATGTTAGGTGGGATCATTTCTGCATAAAATTATTTTAGTATTTTGTGTAGTGTGTTTCCAGGCATGATATACTGTCTCAGTCTTTTTTTCCTTGGTTTTAAAATATCTTCATGTTCATCCTCATTTGTGAAGAGTATTTTCTCTGTAATAAAATTCTAGGTTGATAGTTTTTTCTTTTCTTCCCAATACATTAAAGATAGTCCATTTATTCTGGCTTCTATTGTTTCTCATGAGAAGTCAACTGTCAATTTCATTGTTCTCTGATTTAATGTCTTTTCTGACTGCCTAAGAAGATCTCATCACTTTTAGTTTTCAGCTGTTTGACTATGATTGGCTTGGGTATAATTTCTTTTTCCATTTCTTTCTTTCTTATTTTTTTAGAGACAAGGTCTCATTTTGTCATCCAGGCTGGAGTGCAGTGGCACCATCATAGCTCACTGCCACCTTCAACTCCTAGGTTCAAGGGGTCCTCCCACCTCAGCTTCCTGAGTAGCTAGGATGACAGATGCATGCTACTGTGCCCGGTAACATTTTATTTTTATTTCATAGAGACAGGGTTTCATCATCTTGTGCAGACTGGTCTCCAACTCCCGAACTCAAGTGATCCTCCTGCCTCAGCCTCCCAAAATGCTAGGATTACAGGCATGAGCCACCATGCCCAGACAGGTATTTTTTTTTAATGTTTGTCCTGCTTGGGATTACCAAGTTTCTTGGCTTTCTGGGTTAATGTATTCATCCATTTTTGAAAATTATTGGTCATTATTTATTCTAGTATTGTTTTTGCCCCATTCTCTCTATCCTCTCTTTCTGAGGCTGAAATTAAGTGTATGTGAGACCATTTGATATCATCACAAAAATCCCTAATAGCTTTTTCTTTTATTCATTTATTTCCCCTGTGCTTCCGGTAATTTTTCAAACTGTTTACAAATTCTACTGTGTCCAGTCTTTTGCTACCCTATCCAAAGAATCCATTTTTTATAAACTATATTTTTAAGTTCTATAATTTCCTTTTGATTAAAAAACAGTTTTGATATCTTTGTTGAAATAACTCAATGTTTTACTCATTTTTTCCAAATTTTCTTCTAAAGTTTTTAATATATTAGTACTTTTATGCTAATGTCCTTGTCATCCTTCCTCAGTTATGAGTTTTCTTTTTTCTGATTTTTTTTAAATTCGTGGATCATACATTTCTCCCTCTTTGCATATCTCATAATTTTATTATATAATAAACATCATGTATAAAATAATAGTAGAGACTAGAGTACTTATTATTTGGCCTCCAAAAAGTACTTGACCTTTTCTCTGTCAGTTATCTAATAAGATAGACTATCTCTGATCTACTAAGAAGCTGAGCTGTGTGAAGGCTGGGTTACTTAAGCTCACCTCTGCATTTTAAATGTCTTAAGAATGGGATCAGCCTTCTCTCTCCAATAGGATTTTAAATCTAAGCATAGCAAGACTGATCTCTCTCTCTCTCTCTCTCTCTCTCTCTTTCTCTCTCTCTCTTTCATCTCCTTTCCACTGCTTCCAGTTCCTTACGCTGCTGCATATTTAAGGGAGAATTGGTCGGTGGAGAAAACTAGCTCTGAGTTTGAAGCTCCTCCATATTCCAGTCTGCCATGCCAGGCCTTGGGGAGCTGTTCAAAATCTAGCTGGTTTCTTCTTGTCCCAATATGGTTTCTTCTACCTACAGCAAGTACGCTTCCCCCTCTGCTCATGCCTTGAGTTTTTGCAAATGTTCTAGTAATCAAAGCAGTCACTGGTCCCTGCTCACCATTTGTATCCTTGTCTCACTCTAGAATTTTGTTTATTTAGACTTCTCTGCATCCACAGATTTTATGCTTTTGAAGAAAAACATTTTTTTTTATCTAGGGTTTTCTTTTGTAACAGCAGGAATGGTGGTCTTTTGTGACAATATAGAACTTTTCAGAAGCGCAGTTCTCTATTTCATCTTTCTTTTTATTTTTAATTCCAATAACTTGATTACCCCAGATTCTCAATTTTAGGACTTAAGAATTCCTGAGCTGAGCAGCATATTTTCCTTGCAGTTCTGGGTTCAGCTCTAAAACAGGAGCATGTATAGATAGAACTCTATGTACGGTGCTTATAAATTCAGGCCCTAGAACTCAACTACCTCTGTCCAAACCCTGAAACTACTACTTCCTAGCTACGGGCAAGGTACTTGCATCCCCTAAGCTTGAGTCTTCTTGTTTATTCTTGTTTGTGCCATAAAGACAATGATAGTATATATCACATATGGTTAAATACACACACAAAAAAACACTAAGAACAACATATGGCACAAAGAAAATAGTCAATAAATTCTGGCTATTTTTATTAAAAGGCAAGTGAAATTATGAAAGGCATTTGGTTAAACCTAAGATGAGATCTGCCTAGGTCTGGCCCATATCAACTATTGATTTTCTATGATTATCATCTTAATCTGTGCATCCATTTAGTAATTAATGATTCTCTTTGTTACTATTAAATATGAGGACTCAAATTGAAGGTCATCTCCTCCTAACCACTGACCTCCCTTGGTCTTATTAGCACCAAATCTTAGTTAAGAATGAGGTTGAGAATGAAATGCAAAACTCAGTGTGACAGTACCTCGTGGTGATGCAGCAGCTCAGAATGACAGTTTATTAGGCAGTTTGGAGTCGAATGGCAGCTTACTGCTGGTTGGACAGCTACCTACACTAATCCAGACCTTATAAGATTTCAAAGTAATTTTGGTTGCAGATATTTATTTTAAATTTACTACATAGCTAATGACAGGGATATTACATTTATTTTTTTAAGATAATAGCTATTCCTTCAAGCAAATGATCAGTGTCCAACAAATCAGTTAGCTGACTCAAACGGTATTGCTTATATGAGGCTTTCCACTACCTGAGGCAGAAGAGAAAAGAATAGGATTAGGATCTAAAAGAGATTTGATGGCTGTGATTTCCACAATAGAAATGTTGACAGGTGGAATAAATAACTTCTAGAGAGCAACTTGTTAAACTGGGTTAAAAGAAGATCTGTATGAGTATGGCCCAGTCTGATGCCGTCTGCCAATCTGATTATATTTTATTACTCAGCTGAACTGTATTCCATGATTCAGTTTGCGGTTATCAAAAGGGGTCACAGCTGCAACAGCTCATATTTCCTGAACATATTTTGGCAGAAATTGTGGATTGTTTTAGGAGAATGCCAACTACTGTCAGAGATAAAGACAAAGGGCTTCTTTATAGTTATTTAACATTATCAAACTGTCAACCAAGGAAAAGCCTCCTTTGTGGGATTCCGGGATACACTTAGAGAGTCATAGAATGTCCCCTCCACCAGAAAACCTTGGCTTTATATGCACAGGACTTCTGCATATGCGCCATGAAGTCCTGAAGTCCTTGTCTTTAAATCTAATTTCTCTGGGTAACTCCACCCTGTATTGTTTTGCGATCTCTCTCTTTAATTTCAGCAGTCTTCTCTGGGTCTTGTCATCATTCATTTTTTGTATATTCCTAAAATTATTAACTCAGTTTTCTTTTTATTTTTCTAGCTACCTATTCCCACTCTGATCTGTTGTTTTCTAATTCTTTGACTTTTCTTTTTTCCCTAAGCAATATTATGTCTTCCTGGCTTCATGTATTTACTTATCCAATCTAGATCTGATGGTTAACCAATTTCCTTGCCTCCTTACTAGTGTCACCAATCCTACTTCTCCCTTTAGCTTTCAGCAGCAACTGTCCAACCATGGGTCAAGCTAACCCTTCACTTACTCTCTCCAGTACGGAGGCTGATGGTGCTGTTAGGATCAGTGATACCTAACAGAAATGCACAGTTTCTGGAGTCTAAAGCCAGTTTCAAATCCCATGGTCTTTACGGCAAACCTTCACCACTCTTCTCAAGTTCTTCCATATTTTATTGCCTGTATACCCTCCCACACATACATAGTCTACCAAAAACTGACCTCTTTTCTCCCAAAGAAATTACAAATTTCTAATTAGAAATTAAAAATTAGAAATCCCAAAACTCAATGCTTTCAATTTAGAACCTACCTGCAATGACTTATCTCTATGAGAAGCAACTTAACCATGTAATTTCAAGCTGGTCCATGAAGGCAGAGAAGCCTGTTTGTATCATGGGCTAAGTATGTGTCCTTCAGTAGATTATATGAACCATATATGTATATGTGTGTGTGTGTATATATATATATATATATATATATATATATATATATATACACAAAACTTTATATATATATAAAACTTAACATATTGCTTCCCAGTAAGTATTCTAAATAAATTTTTACTATAAAAATAATTTCTATTGTTACGTCTATATTCATCCCTGCATCTTTCTCTCCTATTTCTGAAGAAGAGATGTTCCTTGTTCTATCCAAGACTAATTTATCTTTAAACTCAATACAATCTTCTCATGCTTCATTGATATCATATTTTACCAATCTGTCTCTTGTAACCTGTATTTTTCAGTATCTCAGCACATAAACAAATTACACACACACACACACAATCTCACTGCTACCCTATGTGCCCTTGTAACTCTAATCTTCTCTTTTCACAACTATGCTTCTATAAAAGTATTTTATACTCATATATTTCCCTTCCTCTGTTCCACTCCTATCACTCCACAAAATAATACATTTGATAAAATAATCAATAACTTATAAGTTGTTAAGTCCATAGACAATTAATGATAATTTTAGGTTACTATTTATTGAACACATATACCTGGCGTGGTGCTAAGCAGTTTTATACATATTTGTGCATTTAATCCTCACAACAATGCTAAGAGGTAGGTACATTATTCTACTATTATAGAGGAGGAAGCGGAAACTAAGTGGAGTCATCCATTCAGGCATCATCTCTTCACTGAGTGCACATTCTTGGATAACCACTGTGTTGTACTATGTAGGAACTTACAGTTTGGAGAGGGAGACAGATTGTAAACCGATTAGCACACAGTGCTATTATACCAATGAAGATGAAAGCTACAAAGGAAAAGAAGAATATTCCATGATTGACAAAAACAAGAACCCCAGATAGAAGGTCAAGGGAGCTCTCTAAGGAGGAGCAGTTAAGCTGACAGCTAAAGATTCAAACATTCCTACTATGCAAACAGAAGTGGTAGAGGTCCAGGAAAAAGAGGTGTCATGTTTGGATCAACCGAGAGTTTAGTCATTCTCAGGCAGGGTCTTCACGTTCTGTGTGGCTACTGCCTGCTCCTTGGCTTTCTTTAACCTGATAGGCTTAATAAGTTGTGTGCAGTCAACAGCTGGTAATCTAATGATTAATGAGGCTCAGAGTCTGAGATCTATGTGCTCTCTCAATACAATTTCAAGTATTTTCCCATCAGCACTTACCATTAGGTTTTCTCTCAAACCATCACCAATTAGCATAAAAGTTTGACTCATGTAAATATTGAGAAATGGTAGATTTTTCTTGGGAGATTTATGAATATGCATGTTAGAAGCTGCTCTTCTTTCAATGTGGCCTCCTGGAGAGAATACTAAACTGGAAGGTCAAAGCCCTGAGTTTTATTCTTGGCTTTGCCACTCACTCCCTCAGTGACCTTGGACAAGTTGCTTAGCCACTCTGCAGGCAACTGTTTCTTTGTTGATAAAGATGTGAGTAATGATAGCTGAAACCTCTTTCCATATAGGGAAGTTGTGAAGATTAATGAGATAGTGTTTATAAAGCACTCTGAACTCAAGGAAAAAAAAGCTGTATAAGTACAGAGTGTTGCTATTGTTATTCAACAGAGTCTTTATTGAAAATTCTACGTAGACTTCTCAAAATCTGGAAAGGGTGGTAAAGTCAGAATCTATGGATTATTTTATATGGCATCCACCTCTTTCCACCTCTGATAAATTGTGCACTGAATTCATCTCTATTCTATTTTCTATATATATAAACTTTTTTTCGATTAAAAAAATTTTGAAAATTCAAATGGTTTTAGAGGAAATCATCTTTGCTGGTTGTTGGTCAACCTGAGAAAAAGGGGAACCATTTAAGAGTAAATGCATAAGACCCCCATTTTTATGGAAAGCTACTCAGGAGACAAGATACGGGTGATACTGATTAATGACAATTTCAATCTGGCCCTACATCCCCATCTCCCAAAACACTAATTGAGCAATGAATTGGAAACCAAATTGCCTGCTCTCCTTTTTTTTCTTCTCCCTGAGCTTGAAAGTTCTTTCATGGAAGGGACTACAAGAAAGGAAGAAAAAACAAAAGAGGCAAGGATCACACCAATTCTCAGAGTCAACCTTGAATAATCAAGAGTTGACTCCGGCCGGGCGCAGTGGCTGATGCCTGTAATCCCAGCACTTTGGGAGGCTGAGGGGGATCCACTTTGGGAAGATCACAAGGTCAGGAGTTTGAGATCAGCTGGCCAGTATGGTGAAACTCCATCTCTACTAAAAATACAAAAATTATATGTATTGTATTTTTCTACTAAAAATACAACAATTAGACGGGAGTGGTGGTGGGTACCTGTAATCCTAGCTACTCGGGAGGCTGAGGCAGGAGAAAGGGTTGAACCTGGGAGGCAGAGTTTGCAGTGAGCCGAGATCACGCCACTGCACTCCAGCCTGGGCAACACGGTGAGACTCCATCTCATATAATAATAATAAAAAAAAAAAAAACAAAAAACAAAACAGTTGACTCCACTGTGGTCATACATACCAAAAAGTGAGACTTACTGTCATTCCTTTCATTTGTATCTATTATGCTTCAAATATTGTGCTTTTCAGAGCTAGCTAGTCTCTTAAATGTGATACCTTAATATTCAGAATGTGTAGAATGTGGGAAAATTGATGTTCCTCTGAGAATCTCAATCCTGCATTAGCAGACTCTTTTGCATTTAATTTTGTCCCCTGTTTATATTAAAGACAGAAGAGGTTTCTTCTGACACGAGGAATTTAAAAATGCATGTAGGTAAAGTCCTTTAGAGTCTCCTATATTTCATCTGCTTATTAGGGCCGGTGGGAACAGCTTTTTTTCCCAGATTTTAAAGTTCCAGATGATCCACAATTGTGCTGAATGCATTGACCTTATGGTGGATTTGTTTCTAGAAAAGAACTGGAACAAGTAATCTGCTAAATGCACCCAATTGACCTCAGCTTTTTAGAACTACTGATTATCCCTAAGATAAGTTAAACTTTAGGAAAGAATGTGTTGAGTTTTCTACACATATACAAATGTCTGAGTTTAGAACAATTCAGCCCAAATTTGGTTCTACGAAAACCTCCAAAATAAGCCCACATAATAATTTTTTTCTGTTTTTAATTAACATGGTAGCATGCTTCTTTAAAAAAATTATTGGAGATTTATGTTTTTAGGGTTCTTTAAGTGAGACATTAATAGTATTGCAAGACATTTCAAAATAATTTAAAATTATTCTTAAATTTTAGAAAATATGGCACATGACCTTTGTATTACTTCCGTTTTAGACCACAGTTTTTCCCCAAAGGAGGAAGGATGAGATTGATGTACATTTTGACGACAATAAAAATGTACCAATTACACTTTTATTTCAGATTTGTGATAGACAAAACAGATATTCTCTGATTCCTTAACATCAGTGAAGAGCTACATCTAGGACCCAGAGTTTACAGTTTATCACTCCATTTAATCTTTCCACCATCCAATAGATTAGCCTTTCTACTACAGTCAGATCTTCTAATGTTGAAAGAAAGAAAGGGAGAAGCAGAGGACGGGAGGAAAAGATAGATCAAACTTTTTTTTTTTTTTTTGAGATGGAGTTTCACTCTTGTCGCCCAGGCTGGGTACAATGGCGCGATCTTGACTCACTGCAACCTCCGCCTCTCAGGTTCAAGTGATTCTCCTGCCTCAGCCTCCTGAGTAGCTGGAATTACAGGTGCCCCCCATCACGCCCAGCTACTTTTTGTATTTTTAGTAGAGATGGGGTTTCGCTACTTTGGCTAGGCTGGTCTTGAACTCCTGATCTCAGGTGATCCACCTGTCTCGGCCTCCCAAAGTGCTGGGATTACAGGTGTGAGCCACCGCTCCCGGCCAAATCAAACTATTTTTTTTCCCCACCAGTTGTGCTATCAATGTTGGAAACTAAATCCTTTGTGGTAGATTGAAAATAGCTCCCCAATGATGTCCACAACCTAATCTCCAGAAATAGTAACATATTACCTTATATGGTAAAAAGGACTTGCTAGATGCGATTAAGTGAAGGATCTTGAGTAAGGGAGGTTATCCTAGATTATGCACGTGGGTCCACAGTGATCAAAAAGGCCCTTATAAGAAGGTGCAAGAGCATCATTGTCAAAGAGAAAGAATAAGTAGGGACAGAAATGGAGGTTAAAAAGGAGGTAATATGCTACATTTCTGGCTTTTCAAGATGTAGGAAGAGCCACGAGTCAAATGATGCAGGCAGTGTCTAGATTACAGAAGTGTCCAATCTTTCTGCTTCCCTGGGCCACATTGGAAGAAGAAGAATTGTCTTGGGCCACACATAAAATACACTAACACTAGCAATAGCTGATGAACAAAAAAAAAAAAAAAAGAAAGAAAAAGAAAAAGAAAAAAGAAAGAAAAGAAAAATTGCAGGCATGGTGGCTCACGCCTGTAATATCCCAGTGCTTTGGGAGGCTAAGGCTGGCGGATCACCTGAGGTCAGGAGTTCGAGACCAGCCTGGACAACATGGTGAAACCCCATCTCTACTAAAAATACAAAAATTAGCCAGGCATGGTGGCGGGTGCCTGTAATCCCAGCTACATAGGAGGCTTAGGCAGGAGAATCGCTTGAACCCGGGAGGCGGAGGTTGGAGTGAGCTGAGATTATGCCAATGCACTCCAACCTGGGTGACAGAGCAAGACTTCATCTTGAAAAAAAAAATTGCAAAAAAAATCTCATAATGTTTTGGAAAGCTTACGAATTTGTGTTGGGCCGCATTTAAAGCCATTCTGGGCTGTATATGACCCATGGACTGCAGGTTGGACAAGTTTACTCTAGAAGCTGGAAAAAGCAAGGAGATGGATTCTTCCTCATTGCCTCCAGGGAGAACGAAGCCTTGCTGTCACCTTCAACTTATCCCAGTGAAACTGATTTGGGACTTTTGGCCTCCAGAACTATAAAATCATAAGTTTGTGTTGTTTTAAGCCACTAAACTTATGGCCATTTTTTTACAGCAGCAATAGAAAACTAACACACCATTGAAAAGGTGATCTTGCGCATGTGAATCATGTTTCAAGTGGTTAGTGAACAAAGTGTCCCTAGAGTGCTATGAATGAGGGGGGCGGGGGGGGGGGCCGGAGTAGGGGCAGCAATCTCCACTTTGACCCTCTTGGTGTAGAGACAAGCAGACTGCACTGCCCCAGAACATATTACCCAATGGCTGCAATTCTGAATGTGGGCTGGTGTGCCTTGGGAAAGGGATAGGAACCTGCTGTGTGTGGAACTAAAAGGCTCTTAGTAAACAATAGACCCACCTTCCCTAACAGTCCCATACTCAGATTGACATAAACCAATAATCATTATGCAACTATGTCAGGTCTCATTTTTGGTGTTTTAAAATAGGATTGATATGACAGTAGCGTTCTAGAAAATAGATCCTTAGAAAACAAGAATATTTAAAGGGAAGGCATAACGCAGAATGAGTAAACTGTGTAGGAGAATACATGTTATGGGGTGAGAGAAGCAGATGCTAAAGAAAAATACCTCTAATTGAAACAAAAATCATGTACACATAAAAAAGCACAAGTACAAATTTTGAAAATATTTCCTAAAAGACTCACCAAAACCAGTTTTTAATGGTTCCCAAAATATTTTGGTGTGGCTTACCATAATACTTCATAATCATATCAAATTTCAGCTAAATGTTACATTACCAAATTGTCGAATTAAATTTTACATTGTTCCCTGAAAGCTTTATGAAGGTATTTCATTAATACCATTGACCCTCGGCATGGTACAGAAGAAAGAGTACAAGATCTAAAAGCACACAGCTGCCTTGTGTCTTTGGACAAGTGACATAATTTCCCTGGGCTACAGTTATCTAATTTATAAAATGAGGGTTGCAAAGTCTCCACTTCATAGGATGTTAAAAGCCTTACAATAAATAATGCCTATAATATTTCTTTTAAAATCTGACACAGAGGCCACTAAATGTTCCTCTCAAAAGACTTCAGAGGTCAATAAAAGAGCTTAATGAGATTACAATAATATAAGTCAGGTGGGCAGGAGCAAGGACCTGAAATGAAACTTATTCATTGAGCCAAGATGGGGACATAGGAGAGAAGTGATCCAGATACAAATACCCAAGGGCCATGCAATCTGGGAATCTGAGTGCTTTTTCCAAGGCATCTTCTCATCATGTTCACTTTCAGTCCAGGCAAGCAATTGACACTATGGAATCCAAGCTGATAATGAGTTCGGAGGTATAAACAGGTTGGCGAAGTACAATGTAGAATGTCTACCCATCAAGAAAGGGTACCAGCCAGGACATAAGACAAGAACCAGGCAGCTTCTCATAAAGAAAATTGGGAAAGACAGATCAAGGCTAAGTCCAATTATAATAACTGGGACATGTCAAGGGGAGCAAGGGTTGGGTCAGAGCTCAGGAACTAAGTGAAAGCTCATTTATATCGGGGTCAGGAGAGAGTAAGGGAACCTAAAATCAAGGCTGGGCACGAGGCTCATGCCTGTAATCCTAGCAGTTTTAGAGGTCTAGGTGGGAGGATCGCTTTAGGTCAGGAGTTTGAGACCAGCCTGGGCAGCATAGCAAGACCCCATCTCAAAGAAGAAAGAACGAAAAAGAAGGAGGAGAAGAAAATAAATACATAAAATACAATCAGGTAAAAATCCTTCTGTCCAGCCAGGATTAGTCTAAGTAACAAGGAAAAGTATCCAGTCTATTGGTAGTATCAAGGAAAAATTATACTGATCAGAATTAAACAGGCAAGAAAAACGTTATTCAAGACTATTACAATATGGGAGATAGATTAAACTCAACTCTGCTCAAACAAGATGGGAGCACTGTGTTGGGATGAGCTAGAGGAAAAGTACTAGAGGACATTAAAGAGGAAGTTAGTCAATGTGATTAGACTTCTTCTGTTTGCTAATTGGTGCTATGGAAGTTAGGCTCCTACCCTCTCACAGAGACTGAGAGACAAGGACACTATCTTTCGTGATGATTACCATTCAAAGGCATGTCTCCTAGGTCCTTGAGAAAGATATTCCTGAGTTATAAAACTGGCAGGACTTTGGGAGAAGACTTACATCTCAGAGGGGCAGAGAAAGAATTTACAATTCCAAGTTTTCTAAAGTAAATGCTCTAAGGAAAGTAAGGTCAGAGGTCTATAGTCAGATAGAAATCTGTCTAAAATTTGATAAAGCTGAGGGGAACATGAAGGCCCTCTTGGAGAGTAAACAAAATATAACTACAACTATGGGACTTTTAAGAATAGTTCCAAAACAGACCTGAATGCCCAATTCCAATATGGTGGACTACAAAAAATTGGAGTCATCTTTTTGGTATCTGGTAGTGGCAAAGCAAAGGTTAAATACAGAAGACGTGGTTCCCTTTTGTTTTCTTCAAAGGACTACGCTACTGCCTTTCTAAGGCTTTTTAAAAAAATCTCAATTCACATCATTCTAAAAGTAAAAGGGGGCCACTTAACAGTAATTCCCAGGGTTTATTCCTCCAACTGTGAAACCTCTGGAGCTCCTTTCATTTCCTTCAAGGTCTCTTCCTCCTTCCAACTATTTCTAGGAGCCCCTGAGGGTCTGTTATATGTACTCACAGACAAATCCTTTCAGCTAGCAACAGGCATCTCCCTCTCTCCTTCCCTCCTGCTCTGAGTTCTTTAGTGCTCTTGGAGCTGAGCCCTTGTCCTTGCTCTTGCTGGAGGTCCCTGTCAAGATAAGCCCAACCCAATGTCACCCCTTGTTCCAGTGTCCAGCATCCTCAAGCTTGGCTGGCACTGCCTCTGGCTGCTGCTGAAGCTGAGTGACACAGATACTGCCCAAAAGGATGCAGCTCTCAGCTCTGAATGCAACTGGAGTCAGTGGTGAGAATACTGTGCTGGAATCCAAGGTGGTCAAATACCCAATGCCCAGGGGGAAAGAATGCCTCACTTTTGTTGTAGTCTAAAATCCTTTTGGTTTCCAGTGACTCTCGCGAGCTTGCAAGAAAATAGCTTATTCAGTTTACTCAAATGGTTCACCCCTTTCTAGGTCTCAAGGTCAATTGGCTTGGGAAAATATAAGCAACAAACAACATCTTGTATTAAAATTTACCCTGCTCTCCAATGGCTGAGACACCTTATTAGCCAAACTTAATATGCAAGTCTCTCTCTTCCCTCAACATGGGATCTTTCCCAAGAGGCTACTCAGCTCCTCGTGCAAATACAAAACTTGTATTTGGTATTTGTATTAGAAATACAAATACACTTCCAGGGCCTGACCTATGAGTCTTCCTTGTTTACCCAGACAAGTCAAACTACTGGTGGTATTCTCAATCTATGCCAGCAATGAGCTACTCAAGGCCCAGGTAAATAGAGGCAGCCCGGATGGAAGAATAGCAAGAGGACCTTCTGTTGCCACAATGGTTGACTATTTGGTTACCTTTAGTGCCTAGAATTCAGTGTTAAGTTTCAAACTGGCATTCTTCTTCTCAGCTGAGTAGGTAACTTTAGGTGGAATAAAATATACATTGCTTTTCCACGGTACTCAATAAACCTATTATCATTTTGAAATTTGAGAAAAAAATAAGTGTGTCTCTTGAACTGCTTTATTTTTCCAAAAGTCGTTCTTCTACAAAAATTGTACCCATCACTCATTTAGAACCAAATGTCCTTTGTCCACACTTCTATATTTCCTCAGAAGACTGATTCTTCTAATCAGTTTGGGGACAAGGAGAGAAAATGCAATAACATGATTCCACCAGGTTATTACTGTAAAAGGCAGGAGGGCATTGGCTAGCATGGGCACCATCCTCAGCTAAGCATGGAGTAACTTACAAGCAGAACTAACTGAAGACACTCATGCAACTCAGATACAAGAATGAAGGAACACACGGACAGTAAATTTTCCTCCTCAAACCCACTTTTCCTTAGTTAAACTGGACTCTTCCCTTTTTAAAATTCGGATCGCTAGCCTGGATGAAAGAATTGCATATTCAGATTTTTCACCCTAGAAGAAGAAAAAGTATCCTAAAAACAACATACTTTTGATTTTTAAGAACTTTTTCATTGTTAAGAATGAAACAATTGTTTGAGGGAAAGTTAATTTTCTACAGAATTAGAAGAGACTGTTGAAAATAATTGCTGAAGGATGTATTTGCTCAAAAGTTACTCCTGATGTCTGTAACAAAATCTAGAACATAGTAGATTCTCAGTAAATAATAAATGCATGCTTAGATAAGTGAATGAATTTTAGGACTTAAAAAGAGAAAGAGCTTTTTTATTTAATAAACAAGATTCATGGTCTGGGGGCAGCTCTGCATTCTGTTCTGTTTCTCTACTTTTCTAACCTGGAGTTGGTTATATAATATATTAGTCAGGATTCTCCAGAGAGACATAACCAATAGGATAGATAGGTAGACAGGCAGGCAGACAGACAGACATAAGTATAGGTATGGGTATAGATAGAGATATGAGAAGGGACATATTAGGGAAATTGACTCATGTGATAATGGAGGCTGAGAAGCCCCAAGATAGGCCAGCTTTAACCTGAAGACCCACAGAAGCCAGTAGCATGGCTCAGATAAATTACAACGGCCAGAACCAGAGAAGCTAATAGTACAACTCTCAAACCAAGGCTAAAGGCCTGAGAACCCAGGGGGATACTGGTGCGAACCCAGAGGGATACTGGTGCAAACCCCACAATCCAAAGTCGAGAGAATCTGGATTTCTAATGTCCAAGTACCAGAGAAGAAGATTGTCTCAGCTCCAGGAGAGAGAGAGTTAATTTGCCTTTTGTCTGCCTTTTTGTTCTCTCTGGGCCCTCAATGGATTAGATGCTGCCTGCCCACATTGGTGAGGGTGGGTTTTCCTTACTCAGTCCACTAATCCAAAGCTTATCTCTTCCAGAAACGCTCTTTCAGACACACCCAGAAATAATGCCTCACCAGCTATCTGGGCATCCCTTAATCCAGTCAAGGAGACACTTAAAATTAACCATCACAGACAATATGTATGACCTTATGCATGTCTTTTAAACTCTTGTGGTTTCTCAGTTTCTCATTTGTAAAGTGCAGGGTTTGGACAAGGAATTTCTAAGATTCCTTCAAGTTCAGAAAGGCTTTAATTTCCAGTTGCTAGGCATCTAGGTGCTAATAACCAAACATCAGCAAATCTGTGCAATTTAAGTCTCCCCTTAAAATAGAAGTAGGTTGCAAATTGCTTCAGGCCCACTAGAGGGCAGGTATTGAGACACATCTGTGGCGAAGAAGGACTAGAAATACAAAGCGGTCCCACATGAACTACTGTGACATAGAAATGGCAAGTTGCGTAACACTTCACCCTTGAGCATCACAAAATATTTTACAAGCAGAGACTATTGACCCTATTTGGCAGATAACAGAAACTGTGGTGTATCCAGAGCGAATGACTTACTTGGAAGCACAGAAATTCACCAAAAATATGGTCTATGATTCCAGCCTCTTGTTTCTTCGTTTTAGATATTGACCATCACTTGGATGAATTACAGAATGATGGAATCTGAAAGTCGTCAGGAAACTCAGCGGTTATTTCACCCAATACTTAAGAGAAACACACTCAGTTTTACGTTTCTCAAAACACAGCCAGCCACAGGGTAACTCAAGGAGCCAGGTTGGAGGTGCCCTTCAGGGTGACTTCCTTTTGAAACATTCATTCAGAAGGAATTTTGAAAATCAAAGAAGAAAAATATCTTGGAAAAAACTGGCTGCTGGTGGTACTGTCTCCTCCAAGTTGACATCATCAATCAACCAACAATGTAGGAGAACTGTCAGATTCTGGCAGCGTGAGGGACAAGAGAAATTGTCAGACACTTGGAAAATGCAGAGCTGCTCTGCAACACAGCTGGAGCCCTGCACAGTTGTTATTTGGTTTGTGGCGGGGGGGGGGGGGGGCGGCACAAAATTTAATGGGAAGAGGGGAGGAAAAGAGAGGGTATTCATGGAAAAATATCAATTAAAACGTGCCTGATTCATAATTTTCTCTATTTCTCGGCAGAATAACTTTCCATCCTGCTTTTTGCATTGTTATCTTCAAATTCATTTTTCAGCTGTTATTCATACTTCATTTTGGTGTTTCTGAATGTATTTGTCCTCACAGTAACTGTTGACAGGTCCAGCCCTGGAACCATCTGGCTCCTGAAGTAATGAGACCAAATGAAATGGAGCTTGAAGAAATTAACATTCTTTCCTTAATCTATTAATAACTGAAAAGTGTTGATTTTGGTGACAGCTAGATACTTTATTATGAGGCATATTGGTTAATTAAGAGCATCGTAATGAAGGTTATAGGAACGCATATCCCTCCAGAAATATACATATTTTTAATAAGCATAATTTGATTCTTCTCAGAGGCTCAAAAAAAAAAGTCAGTGAAAATGTTATGCACAAGGAAAGTCTCAACAAAGAATAAACAGACAATTTTGCATGGATGGACCATGGCTACTGTTGTTTTATTATCTTAAGTGTGCCTGTGTGTATCAAATACAGCTGCTGCATATCAGCGAACATTGCAGATAATTACAAGTCTTCCAATCCTATGACTCCACTGTCCCACGATTCTTTCCATCTATTTACTCTTAGATGACGTTTGCGGGTTTCTAGGGTCCTTATGGGGATGGGCAAGAGAGGAAACATCCATTTTGCCAAAATTTAAAATGCACAGTCTTTGATAATTAGATAATAGATAATGACATTTCCTTGGTCTTCTCTGATGTTTGCAAACATTTTCCTATCGTCTGTGAAAAGTTTACAAAAACTCTATCTCGCACACAGACCTGTCATTAATAAGAGATCAGGTGCTCTACCTTTCCTCTCACCTTTCCCTCACACTGAGCTCAGAGAAGTTCTGCCTGCCCCTTGAGTATTGTGGATGCCCATTTCCAGTCACGGTTAGTCTAAGAATTTGCTCTCAGACCTTACTAAGAAATTTTATTTTTCCTCTGTTTACAGTCTTCGTTCAATTTTAGTTAACATGTGTATGAACTTTTCAGGCAAGTTCAGCATCATTTTTCTTCCTGACTGGTGTCCCATTGAAAAAAAAACACCCACAAGTAAATTCCCCATGTTTTCTCTACTGAGAATATGAAATGAGTTGTGCATTGGTGTGTATTTTCATTGCAAAACTTTGCTGCACCATTTCCTCTTCTTCTCTCTTTCTTTTTGCCATTGTCTGTCCACTATGTAGCCAAGACATCCCCACAGAAGGGCTGATCTGTCCCTCTTGCTTGTTCTCTGTTAAGACATGCTATGCAAGATTGAGTAGAGAGGGAAGATAAAGACCTACATAATTCAGGAGAAAACTGGCTAATTACAATCAAGGGTGTGTGTTTTTCTATTTTGGGCCTCAATTATCCAGTTTGGTTGTCAACGTTGAAAAATTACTAAATGAAGACCAGATCTTTCATACAGACACTGCATTTCTGAGCAGAGGGAAAGCATTTTCTCTTTGTTTTCCCATTTGCTTTGTTATGTTCAGTCTCTATTTAAATTCTACTTGCTTATTTTACTTCTTGACACTTTCTCTCCATTTTTCTCATCCTTCATATTGTTGATGACAGATGTGTGTCAGCACCTTCATGACACTGTGCCCTCAACATTAGACTCAGGAGACATTCGGGGAACTCACTCTCTCATTCTATAATCAGCACTTCAGTTAGTCTTTGGTGACTACTTATTCCTGTTTATTTGGATAAGTAATTCTGTCTTCAAAAATACAGTTACATTAACAAGCAGAATATTAGGGTCAACTTTACTTAGGGTACATGGCACTTTGGCCAGCCTTCTAGCATTCCTAGCCAGGGTTCTACATATCAGGATGACCACGCTGAGGAACTGGAAACAGATTCAAGGCCATTGTTAGCTCTGTCCATCCTTATCTGCTGCAGCCACAGTAATGCCTGATTCCACAGAGTGGCTGGAGAACCCTCAGTCTCATCATTCGAGCTCAGGGCCAGAAAACTCATAAGGTAAAGTTAAGAACCATGATGACTGGGTCAAGGTTATTCTTAGTATACAAGGGCACCAGTAATTGGAATAATAGTGCTGAGTTCTTTTTTTAAATAGATGGGGGATAAGACAAAAAAGAATAAAGACAATTGTTGGAGAAAGCTCTGTCTAAACCAGTGACAGAGAGTAGACATCAGTAATATAAAGTCATACTTATCTTTATTGCAGTTATGCTGTGCTAGCTCACTCTGGATTGTTTTAAGTGGGTACACCCCTCTCACATAAATACTATCATAGAAAAGGCTCAAAAGCCCAGCACCAGAGACAGCTCCCTGTCTCTGGGATCCTTCCAGGCTTTTTCACCCCTTTTCTTCATTACCACTGGAAAATACTTACTTTAGACCTGCTTAGCTCTGCTATCTCTTGGCTTTCACTACTTGTGTTCTCAGCTCCCACCTTCCTTCTTCAGTTTTCCTTACCATGACAATCTATTTGGTCACCTTTCTCTGGCTTGAATCCTTAGTAGTCTCTCTTAGCCAATATCTTATTATTTGCTTCCAGCACTATATGCACTACAGCTAAGGGTAAGAATTGCCTTTGCTATTAGATTCAGCCTGGAAAAGTTGGTACCCACTCCATCAGGGTCTCAGAATCAAATAGCACTCCCAACATATTGGCTGTAATTACAGACTTAAAATATTGCATAACAGTTTGTTTAGATCTTCAAGAATAAAAGAACCATGTAGGGAATATAAGACTGCTATATGACTTGAGAATGCCTTGAGATACATGGGAAAACACTGATGTATTTGTATAAAAGTATCCTTATTGCCAAAAATAACACAGAAATGTTGGGTCATTCCATTTTGTCACCGATGCAATGGCATAAATGGAAATCTGCTAATGTTAGGGTAGAAACTTAGAATCTTACATGATACAAAAAATAGAATGATGGTTAAGCCTATAAACTTTGCTAAATTCTATTAGGTTGGTGCAAAAATAAATACCTCGAGTATTTACCCCAGACAACAATGCCACTTCACTGTTGTGAGCTGCACATTCGAGGGTGCGCTTTCCTTATGAGAATCTAATGCCTGATGGCATGTCGCTGTCTCCCGTCACTCTCAGAAGGGACTGTCTAGTTGCAGGAAAACAAGCTCAGGGCTCCCACTGATTCTACATTATGGTGAGTTGTGGGATTATTTCACTATCTATTACAATGTAATAATAACAAAGTGCACAATAAATGCAATGTGTTTGAATTATCCCCAAACCAAACCCTCTGCCCCATCTGTGGAAAAATTACCTTCCACAAAACCAGTCTCTTGTGCCCAAAAGTCGGGGACCGCTATTCTAGTATCCCAGCTTACAGAGCAAGGTGATCACCGCTTTACCTCTGCCTTCCCAATAGCATGTGAGTTTCTCTTTTGTGTCACTCTAACCCAGAAACATACAGAAAAGAGAATTCTGGGAAATGTAGTTTCACTTAGCCTTGTCTATACAGTACAAACCAACAGAGTCACAGAGCTCCATTTGGCTTCCTGAACATTATGTTGAGGTTTTATGAGGGAAGGGTGCAAAATACATATCCCATGTTTATAAGGAGGACATCATCACAAAGGAGAGAGGAAATGTCTTGTTTAACAGTTCAAGGTGGCATTCTACAAAGTGTCAGAATGAATGCTATAGCCAAAAACTGAAAATGCAAACAAAAAAGAGTTCTAAAAAATGTTTTTCATATTAGTTTTACCCCTTTCCACTACTCCCATTCTCTTAATAGCTTTAAAAAAAATCTATGCAGCAAAAACAGAGAAGGACTAGAAAGTGCAGAGAGATCTGTATGGCTTGCCTGATTTCCTTCATTGAATTCAAGAATTCATAAATTTTTGTGGCTTCAGACTAACCTTTTCTGTATCACATTTGCAGAACATATGCTCTTTGAGTTAAATGTGAGCCCATTTTGTTGAAAGAATAATGTCTTTTTTTAAGTTTAAAACCTTTTCATTGGTATCCAAGAGACACAGATGAAGAACAGTGGAGTAAGCTGCATTGAAATCTGTTCTATTTACCAGATGTGTAATTTCCAAGGCTCTCCCGCCTTACTAGTATCTCAAGGGAGAGGCACAGCCTTTGAGAGCAAAGCAGAAGAGAAAAGATCAGTTTGAATGATAATGAGGTTTGCAAAAAGAGATCTTTACCTTTTTCACACAATGGGATAGACAGCTTTTTTGATGTCAGTTTGGAACTCCCATTAGCTATGATAGGAGTTATAGGTCTATCAGGAGAAGAATATAGCCCTATGGATTAGGTAGCAAAGGTCTCCCTCCCTGAGCTTCATTATTATTACAAAAAAGCTTTTTCATACAATGCTAATGGGAGGTAGATACATGTTCAGAGAATAGATCTCATGGGATGGAGTGCCACTCAGCTAGTTTCTAATTCATGCATATATGGAATGAGAAAGATTGTTGGTGTGTTTTCCTGTAGATCAGCTCCCACGTGTCTCCATCCTTTTCTCCGAGTAGTTCCGATCCAGACCCCAAGAAGGGTTCTTGGATGTCACGCAAGAAAGAATTTGGGGCAAGTCAGTAAAGTGAAGTAAAGAAACAAACTTTATTACGGAAATAAAGAAACAAAATAATGGTTACTCCATAGGCAGAGCAGCCCCAAGAACTGCCGGTTGGCTATTTTTATGGTTATTTCTTGATTATATGCTACTAAGGGTGGATTATTCATGAGTAAAGGGGCAGGCAATTCCCAGAACTAAGGGTTGCTCCCCATTTTAGAGTATTTGGGTAACTTCTTGACTTTGCCGTGGCATTTGTAAACTGTCATGGCACTGCTGGGAATGTCTTTTACCATGCTAATGCATTATAATTAAGGTATAATGAGAAGTGAGGACAATCAGATGTCACTTTCATCGCCATCTTGGTTTTGGTGGGTTTGGGCTGGCTTTTTTACCACACCCTGTTTTATCAGCAGGGTCTCTACGACTTGTATCTTGTGGTACTAGTATTTCTGACCTCCTATCTCATCCTGTGACTAAGAATGCCAAATCTGAGAATGCAGTCCAGAAGGTTTCAGCCTTACTTTACTCAGCCTCTGTTCAAGATGGAGTTGCTGTGATTCAAACGCCTCTGACATCACTACCACCTTCTCTCATGTTCATAGTCACCTGGGGAGAGCAGCTCTGAAGTGTCCCACCTGTGGCCAAAGGAAAGCTCTGGAGCTTACCAGAGACAGCATATCTTTAAGAAACTTACGTCCCTGGCACTGTGAATTATTCTCTCTTCCTAAGAAAATCAGCCTCAAAGATGTACTTGCAGATCAGATCTTGGGAGCAGAATGACCTCCTAGATGTTTCATTTTGTTGGACAATCTTTGACAGAGCCAAGAAGTCATAAGTATTACACTTTTTTGGATTGGGGAATTGGTTGACATTATTTATCACAATGTGGAAACATTTCCAAATGACACTCAGGAGAATCAAAATGATCACTTCTTTTCTGGGACCTGAAGGGAGAGTTCAAAGTTATCAAGTCTTATGTTACTGAGTCTAGCCACCTTATGGGAAGTGAAGGTGGTGAAATAATTTGGTATTCTATAATTGTTTTACTAAATAAGACTGTTTCTTTACCACTGCTCCCTGCCCCTTAATCTCAAAGTAAGCAACTCTGGGATAAGTGATATATGAGAATAGCAAAGAGAGATCAACTGAAGAGAACAAGTCAGTGAAATAGAACTCAGAATTAATCAGGAGCACAGGTGCTGGAAACTCCTGTACATTAAAAAGAAAAGCAAATATATAATTCTTGCTATAAAGAAATTCACCAGTCTGAGAGAAGGCTTTGCTGCTTGCTTTTGGCTAACCTTTTTTTAACCTGTCTTATATTGTTGAGTCTTTTCTAAGGTCATCAAAACAAAGACATCTGATCTAAACAAATGATAGGCCACAGTGCAGATTTGACAAGATCTCCTGGGATTCTCTTTGAACATTCATTCTGCACCAGGAAAATTCTGCTTTGAGAAGTCAGTGAGGAGATGCATGCATTAACATGTGCCTATAAATATGTCAATCCACTTTACAGGAAAAGACATTATTTTTCATTTAGTTTTTTCCATTTTCACTTTTCTCCTACTAGCTGAAAACTCAGTGTGCCTCCTTTACGGAGGCTGTGACTGGAAACATTCCTTAATTCTCAACACTCTGCTGACATGAAGCTCAAAGGGGACTCAACAGGTTATCAAAATTATTTCTCTTCTAATGATTCTTTTCAAATTAATATCTCTCACATTGAACCTTAGGTGGGTCTCTATGGTTCTAATTTCCATGGAGATAGGGACTAGCTATAGAATACCTAAATAATCTAGCTTAGAGTCCCTGATAATGTAAGGTACCATCTTCTCATTCATCTACTAACTAATTTTTGTCATTTTTGCTTTTTTCAACTATCTTTCTAATTCTTTTGCAGATTCTCTAAACAAAGCATGCACTCTCCCATTCACCATGAAGTCCACCTGTGATGGTTAATACCAAATGTCAACGTGATAGGACTGAAGGATGCAAAGTATTGATCCTGGGTGTGTCTGTGAGGGTGTCACCAAAGGAGGTTAACATTTGAGTCAGTGGGCTGGGAAAGGCAGACCCACCCTTAATCTGGGTGGGTACGATTTAATCAGCTGCCAGCATGGCTAGAATATAAAGCAGGCAGAAAAATGAGAAAAGACTAGACTGGCCTAAGCCTCTCAGCCTACATCTTTCTTCCATGCTGGATCCTTCCTGCCTTCAAACACTGGACTCCGAGTTCTTCAGTTTTGGGACTCAGACTGGTTCTCTTGCTCCTCAGCTTGCAGATGGCCTATTGTGGGACCTTGTGATGGTGTGAGTTAATACTTAATAAACTCCCCTTAATATATATCCTATCAGCTCTGTCCCTCTAGAGAACCCTGACTAATATAGCACCTCACCCTATTTTCTTATGTCTTACCTAGTTCACAGACAGATGTTAATTGTCTGCTCCCATCATCAGTGTTTGGTATCTTGACAATATTGCTATAATATTGACCCAAGCTCAACTTGTGTTCCTCCAGGACTACATCTTTTTTTTAGTTTTAAATACCAGCCAGCCATTACCATCATTTCACATTCTCCCTCTCCTTATTAGTCGGCTTGGGCTGCAGAACACTATAAATTGGGTAATTTAAATAAAAGACATTTATTTTCTGACAGTTTTGGAGGCTGGAAGTCCATGAAAAAAGTGTCTGCGAATTCCATGTCTGGTGAGGGCTCTTTTCCTTGCTTGCAGACAGCTGCCTTCTTGCTGTGTCCTCACATGGAATTTCCTCCATGCTCATGTAAAGAGAAAGTCCACTGGTATCTCTTCTTCTCATGAGAACATCAGTATTGCCGGGCACAGTGACTCACATCTGTAATCCCAGAACTTTGGGGGGCTGCAGCAGTCAAATCACTTGAGGTCAGAAGTTTGAAACCAGCCTAGATAACATGGTGAAAACCCTGTCTCTACTAAAAATACAAAAAATTAGCCAAGTGTGGTGGTGCGCACCTGTAGTCCCAGCTACTTGGGAGGCTGAGGCAGGAGAACTGCTTGAACCCAGGAGGTAGAGGTTACAGTGAGCCAAGACTGTGCCACTGCACTCCAGCCTGGGCAACAGAACAAGACTCTGCCAAGAACGTCGGTATTAAGATGCCACCCTTATGATCTCATTTAACCTTAATTACATCCCTAAATGCCCTATTTCCAAATACAGTCAAATTAGGGGTTGGGGCTTTCACATATGAATTTCAGGGGGACACAATCCATAATGATACTCCCTGGGTAGCTTAAAGACTATTCTCTTTGTGTTATTATGCAGTTTATGGATGGATCTATTTGTGGTAGATCCATCCATCCAATAAAGAGAATAGTCTTTATTGCTTGGATGCTTGGGTTACCGTGACCAAAACATGTCTTTGAATCATAGACAGTGATGTGACTAGCATTGGTTTATGACAGAAATACTCAAAGATCTAACAACATGAAAGTTTTATCTGAGATTCCTACATCCACTCTCTGGCTAACCTCTAGGATAATTGGAATGATTGTTGAGCAAATGTACATTCCCACCTCCCCTTAGTGAGGGCAGAATACGCTTCTCTGCCCATTAGGCTGCTTTGGCAATGGGATATTAGCAGACATCATCTAGGCAGAGGTTTGAAATGTGTCTTTGCCTCAGGGCTTGATTTCTTGTGCCTTGGCTGTTGTGAGGGTGAGAGAAGAAGAGAAAACTTGAGCTCAGTCTGCATCTTAGAGCCAAGGCCAGTCAACTCCAGCTTTGATCAACCAAACACCAACTGGCCCATATACCCATAAGAATTAAATAAATAGTAATTATATGTTACTGAGTTTTGGCGGGTTGTTTTTTAGGCAGTGATAATTAACATAGGTTTCAGCATCTTCAAGTGGGAGGTCTTTACTTCAGGCAGAGGTAATTGATTACTATAGATTTCAACACCTTCAAGTGGGGTCCTTCTGTAAACAAAACAAAACATACTCCTGAAATATGTGATATAGGCTTAGGTTGTAGGCAGTTGGGGGGCAGGGTTGAAGAAACTACAAGAAAAGGCTGGATGAATACTGAGAACACCTACAAGAGGCTGGGAAAATCATGATCTATGTTATATATTGGCACAATTATGGTTAAACTGTCATTTGCTATAAACTGGAAAATAGAAAATATACCAAATGACCTTTTCTAGCTAGGTGAGGAGGTTTTGCAACAAAATTCTTCGGTTCTGGGTAGTTTGTTAGCAGAAATAGCTAATAAAATGTATTATCAAACAAATTATATAGAGCCCTTCACTTTATTTGGTGAAATTGTGTTTTTCCAATAATGTTAAAATGTGATAAGATACTTCTCCTCCGTTTTGCATATTGACATATCACATAAAATGCAAAGAAGAAGAGAAAGTGTAACCTCTCTCCCCCACTAGTCAACATATGTGCATTTCTTCAAAAACTTTAAAATATGTTGAAACCAAACTCAAGATAAGGTGAAGAGGTGAAATTCCAGAGTCACACAAAACATTATAGACATAAGTGATGCAATGGTAATTACACAAAGTGCTTTGCAATGCCCTTCCAGGTAGAAAGAGGTGCATTCTAGACTCAGCTTGAACTTCCTCTGGAAAGACCCAGAATACCATAAATTTATTTATCTTGGTGTCAAAATTGCTACAACTGAAGGATACTAAGTTTCCACAAACTCTAAGGCAAAACTTCAAAGAGTTACAAATACTATTAACAGGGAATTTGGACCTAAAGTAGGAGAGAACAGTAGTTCTCTTAGGGAGTGTTCATGTTCATTTGACTCAAATCCTAAGACACCAAAAGAACCTAAAAATGTGATCACAGTATTACTGCTTGGTGACTAAAACACAGAAAATGCTCATAATGGTTTTTGACCAAGGATTCAACAGATGAGGCAGAGTACCATGGCCGAGCACGGTGGCTCATGCCTGTAATCCCAGCCCTTTGGGAGGCCAAGGTGGGCAGATCACAAGGTCAGGAGTTCAAGACCAGCCTGGCCAATATGGTGAAACCCTGTCTGTACTAAAAATACAAAAAAAATGAGCCAGGCATGTTGCCGGGCACTGTAGTTCCAGCTACTTGGAAGGCTGAGACAGTAGAATTGCTTGAACCCGGGAGGTGGAGATTGCAGTGAGCCGAGATCATGTCTCTGCTCTCCAGCCTGGTGAAAGAGTGAGACTCAGTCTCAAAAAAAAAAAAAAAAAAAGGAGAAATAGTGAAGAAACTATAAATCGGAAAGATTAACATGAGGCCCCTGCAAAACTGTAGAACTAATTTTTTATTTTTATTTTATTATTATTATACTTTAAGTTTTAGGGTACATGTGCGCAACATGCAGGTTAGTGACATATGTATACATGTGCCATGCTGGTGTGCTGCACCCATTAACTCGTCACTTAGCATTAGGTATATCTCCTAATGCTATCCCTCCCCCCTCCCTCCACCCCACAACAGTCCCCAGAGTGTGATGTTCCCCTTCCTGTGTCTATGTGTTCTCATTGTTCAATTCCCACCTATGAGTGAGAACATGCGGTGTTTGGTTTTTTTGTCCTTGTGATAGTTTACTGAGAATGATGATTTCCAATTTCATCCATGTCCCTACAAAGGACATGAACTCATTCATTTTTTATGGCTGCATAGTATTCCATGGTGTATATGTGCCATATTTTCTTAATCCAGTCTATCATTGTTGGACATTTGGGTTGGTTCCAAGTCTTTGCTATTGTGAGTAGTGCCGCAATAAACATACGTGTGCATGTGTCTTCATAGCAGCATGATTTATAGTCCTTTGGGTATATACCCAGTAATGGGATGGCTGGATCAAATGGTATTTCTAGTTCTAGATCCCTGAGGAATCGCCACACTGTCTTCCACAATGGTTGAACTAGTTTACAGTCTCACCAACAGTGTAAAAGTGTTCCTATTTCTCCACATCCTCTCCAGCACCTGTTGTTTCCTGACTTTTTAATGATCGCCATTCTAACTGGTGTGAGATGGTATCTCATTGTGGTTTTGATTTGCATTTCTCTGATGGCCAGTGATGGTGAGCATTTTGTCATGTGTTTTTTGGCTGCATAAATGTCTTCTTTTGAGAAGTGTCTGTTCATGTCCTTTGCCCACTTTTTCATGGGGTTGTTTGTTTTTTTCTTGTAAATTTGTTTGAGTTCATTGTAGATTCTGGATATTAGCCCTTCGTCAGATGAGTAGGTTGCGAAAACTTTCTCCCATCTTGTAGGTTGCCCGTTCACTCTGATGGTAGTTTCTTTTGCTGTGCAGAAGCTCTTTAGTTTAATTAGATCCCATTTGTCAATTTTGGCTTTTGTTGACATTGCTTTTTGTGTTTTAGACATGAAGTCCTTGCCCATGCCTATGTCCTGAATGGTAATGCCTAGGTTTTCTTCTAGGGTTTTTATGGTTTTTAGGTCTAACATTTAAGTCTTTAATCCATCTTGAATTAATTTTTGTATAAGGTGTAAGGAAGGGATCCAGTTTCAGTTTTCTACATATGGCTAGCCAGTTTTCCCAGCACCGTTTATTAAATAGGGAATCCTTTCCCCATTGCTTGTTTTTGTCAGGTTTGTCAAAGATCAGATAGTTGTAGATATGCAGCATTATTTCTGAGGGCTCTGTTCTGTTCCATTGATCTATATCTCTGTTTTGATACCAGTACCATGCTGTTTTGGTTACTGTAGCCTTGTAGTATAGTTTGAAGTCAGGTAGCGTGATGCCTCCAGCTTTGTTCTTTTGGCTTAGGATTGACTTGGTGATGCGGGCTTTTTTGGTTCCATATGAACTTTAAAGTCGTTTTTTCCAATTCTGTGAAGGAAGTCATTGGTAACTTGATGGGGATGGCATTGAATCTATAAATTACCTTGGGCAGTATGGCCATTTTCATGATATTGACTCTTTCTACCCATGAGCATGGAATGTTCTTCCATTTCTTTGTATCCTCTTTTATTTCCTTGAGCAGTGGTTTGTAGTTCTCCTTGAAGAGGTCCTTCACATCCCTTGTAAGTTGGATTCCTAGGTATTTTATTCTCTTTGAAGCAATTGTGAATGGGAGTTCACTCATGATTTGGCTCTCTGTTTGTCTGTTATTGGTGTACAAGAATGCTTGTGATTTTTGTACATTGATTTTGTATCCTGAGACTTTGCTGAAGTTGCTTATCAGCTTAAGGAGATTTTGGGCTGAGACAATGGGGTTTTCTAGATATACAATCATGTCATCTGCAAACAGGGACAATTTGACTTCCTCTTTTCCTAAACGAATGCCCTTTATTTCCTTCTCCTGCCTAATTGCCCTGGCCAGAACTTCCAACACTATGTTGAATAGGAGTGGTGAGAGAGGGCATCCCTGTCTTGTGCCAGTTTTCAAAGGGAATGCTTCCAGTTTTTGCCCATTCAGTATGATATTGGCTGTGGGTTTGTCATAGATAGTTCTTATTATTTTGAGATACGTCCCATCAATACCTAATTTATTGAGAGTTTTTAGATGAAAGGTTGTTGAATTTTGTCAAAGGCCTTTTCTGCATCTATTGAGATAATCATGTGGTTTTTGTCTTTGGTTCTGTTTATATGCTGGATTACAAGTATTGATTTGCATATATTGAACCAGCCTTGAGTCCCAGGGATGAAGCCCACTTGATCATGGTGGATAAGATTTTGATGTGCTGCTGGATTCGGTTTGCCAGTATTTTATTGAGGATTTTTGCATCAATGTTCATCAAGGATATTGGTCTAAAATTCTCTGTTTTGGTTGTGTCTCTCTCAGGCTTTGGTATCAGGATGATGTTGGCCTCACAAAATGAGTTAGGGAGGATTCCCTCTTTTTCTATTGATTGGAATAGTTTCAGAAGGAATGGTACCAGTTCCTCCTTGTACCTCTGGTAGAATTCGGCTGTGAATCCATCTGGTCCTGGACTTTTTTTGGCTGGTAAGCTATTGATTATTGACACAATTTCAGAGCCTGTTATTGGTCTATTCAGAGATTCAACTTCTTCCTGGTTTAGTCTTGGGAGGGTGTATGTGTCAAGGAATTTATCCATTTCTTCTAGATTTTCTAGTTTATTTGCGTAGAGGTGTTTGTAGTATTCTCTGATGGTAGTTTGTATTTTTGTGGGATCGGTGGTGATATCCCCTTTATACATAATGGTAAAGGGATCAATTCAACAAGAAGAGCTAACTACCCTAAATATATATGCACCCAATACAGGAGCACACAGATTCATAACGCAAGTCCTGAGTGACCTACAAAGAGACTTAGACTCCCACACAATAATAATGGGAGACTTTAACACCCCACTGTCAACGTTAGACAGATCAACGAGACAGAAAGTTAACAAGGATACCCAGGAATTGAACTCAGCTCTGCATCAAGTGGACCTAATAGACATCTACGGAACTCTCCACCCCAAATCAACAGAATATACATTTTTTTCAGCACCACACCACACCTATTCCAAAATTGACCACATACTTGGAAGTAAAGCTCTCCTCAGCAAATGTAAAAGAACAGAAATTACAACAAACTGTCTCTCAGACCACAGTGCAATCAAACTAGAACTCAGGATTAAGAAACTCACTCAAAACCGCTCAACTACATGGAAACTGAACAGCCTGCTCCTGAATGACTACTGGGTACATAACGAAATGAAGGCGGAAATAAAGATGTTCTTTGAAACCAATGAGAACAAAGACACAACATAGCAGAATCTCTGGGACACATTCAAAGCAGTGTGTAGAGGGAAATTTATAGCACTAAATGCCCACAAGAGAAAGCAGGAAAGATCCAAAATTGACACCCTAACATCACAATTAAAAGAACTAGAAAATCAAGAGCAAACACATTCAAAAGCTAGCAGAAGGCAAGAAATAACTAAAATCAGAGCAGAACTGAAGGAAATAGAGACACAAAAAACCCTTCAAAAAATTAATGAATCCAGGAGCTGGTTTTTTGAAAGGATCAACAAAATTGATAGACCACTAGCAAGACTAATAAAGAAAAAAAGAGAGAAGAATCAAATAGACGTAGAACTAATTAACAGATGGTTTGTGAGAACTCAGAAGACAAAAACAATCATTACTAGAGTCAGAATGTTCGATTATGGAAAGCATTTTCATGCTTTTAAAAATACTGCATCTTATAAAATTCAAGAATTTGATTATTAGAGGCACCATGATTTTATATGACATTAAGGAAAAAACACTACTTGAACCATTACCATCATATGCCATCTATTCTAAGAGTCCTACCACTTACTAATATGATTACATATAAAATAAATGTGTATCCCAAAGTGGGAAAAATATGATGTTGCTATTTATTTTCCAGATGACTTCTTTTTAGGGTTGGCTAGAGGGACAAAGAAAGGCTAGAGGAGAAACAAGGATACTTCTCCTTCCTGTTTTGCTTCCTGATTCCTATTTTGTTCCCAGTTTTTTTCATCATCCCTACAGCAACACTACTTCTTCATTCTGGCAGCAGAATTTTGTTCCAGGAGCAGCAGCTTTTTCCAGCATACAGACTTACAACCTTCTCAGGACCAACATCAATGCCTTCTTTCAGAGACAACAGCACCACTCAGGTGGCACCCCCCTTCTCAGGGGTCTTACTGTCCTTTCTATGGGGCCTCACCTCAAAGCTACCTGGTTTTAGTGATTTGCAATCTTACCTCCTTTTCTCTCCCAGCCCTGGGGATCCCACAGCTACTATTCTGTCTGTTCTTATGCTGCTAATAAAGACATACCCAAGACTGGGTAATTTATAAATGAAAGAGGTTTAATGGACTCACAGTTCTACATGGCTGGGTAGGCCTCACAGCCATGATGGAAGACGAAGAAAGAGCAAAGGGACATATTACATGGCAGCAGGCAAGAGAGCATGTGTAAGGGAACTCCCCATTATAAAACCATCAGATCTCGTGACACTTATTCACTATCACTAGAATAGTATGGAGGAAACCGCCCCCATGATTCAATTATCTCCCACCAGGTCCCTCCCACAACACATCAGAATTATGGGAGCTACAATACAAGATGAGATTTGGGTGGGGACACAGCCAAACCATATCACTGTGACATCTATGTGTTGATATTTGCCTTTTGCATTATCTAGTACCTAGTTAACTATAATTTATACCAAATTATCTGTTAGAAGAATTTATATGGCTTCTGTCTCCTGATTAGAACTTGAAAATGGAAACATTTCTTACCTATGTAAAGATAATTCTGCTAGGTTGTGAGAAGGAAGTCTTGTATGTTGAGTTACTTGGTCTATATGCCACCACATTGAACAAGACCATAATACTGGATGAGCAGAAAGATGGGCAAAACCTTTTTCTAAAAAAGCATCTACTGGCCTAAAATGGGGAGAATTACTGAGTAACGTCAATTAACTCTCCAGGGACAATCAGGTGGCTGCAATTGTCTACATATTGTGTTAAATGTCTACTGCAAAGAAGCCAGTTAGGAAAAAAATTATTAAAGCAAATACTATGTGTGTACATAGTGGTTTTATTAGTTACACACACATTTGTGACTAGAAAGTCTAAGACGAGATTCACTATTATGGCAGGATGGGTCCCCCACTTGGAATCATCTCATAACATTCTATAAAAAATTATATTTATGCTAAGAGATAGAATAAAATACTTTAAAAAAGGGAAAAAAACAGCCAATGGAAACAGACCCATAAGAAATAAACTTTAAGATACAAATAGAATGAACATATTCAAGAATATAAAAGAAAAGATGAAGATTTTTGAATAAAGGACTGAAATCTATAAGGAAAAAATAGCATGAAAATTCTAGAACTGAAAAGTATGAAGATTAAAATGAAGAATTACATTTGGTGGTTGGATTTAATAGCACATTACACACAGAAGAGAGAATTAGTGAACTGAAAGATCAGTGAAAGTAGTCCAAATTGTAGCCTAAAGAAAAGAAAAGAAAGAAACTCAAAAAAACTAAAGATAAGTAAGCATAAGTCATGTATGAGACAAAATTTTTTAAAAAATTATTTACTAATTCTTTGAAATTAAAATGCTTATGATTTAACTTATACATAAGAATCACCAGAAGGACCTGGATAAAGATCACTGGGACCACTCAGAGAGATTCTGATGAAGATTCTAAGTTACTGGTTTTTGATGTAGTGTGAAAACTAGACCCGCTGCCTCATATTTTGAAGCTGTTCTTCACATAGTTCCTTGTAAGCGTCAATGCATACACACTTTCAGAAATCCTGTTTGAGACTGAGTTCCTGGAAGGCAGGAATGTGTCTTACCTATCATTGTATCCTCTAACCTTCCAGATAAGTGGAAAGACATACTATGTTCGTAGGTTGACTACTCAACATTATTAAGAAATCAATTTTTCCCAAATTGATTGGTCTGCTGCAGTGCAATCACATTTAAACTCCCAGTAGGATTTTTATGATTACTGACAAGCTGATTTCAAAATACCTATAAAAATTCAAAAGGTCACAAATAGTAAAAAGAATAAGAAGAAAAAAAGTAGAAGGATTTACACAATTGGATATTAAAACATATTGTAAAGCCATAGTAATTATTGCTATTGGTATGATATTAGTTCAAAGACAAATGAATATATTCATGGATCAAAATAAAAAGTCAAGAAAGAGACTTGGCAGGGCGCAGTGGCTCACGCCTGTAATCCCAGCACTTTTGGAGGCCAAGGCAGGCGGATCACGAGGTCAGGAGATCCAGACCATCCTGGCTAACACAGTGAAACCCCGTCTCTACTAAAAATACAAAAAAATTAGCCGGGCGTGGTGGTGGGCGCCTGTAGTCCCAGCTACTCGGGAGGCTGAGGCAGGAGAATGGCGCGAACCCGGGAGGCCGAGCTTGCAGTGAGCCGAGATCGCGCCACTGCACTCCAGTCTGGACAGATCAAGAGACTCCGTCTCAAAAAAAAAAAAAAAAAAAAAAAAAAAAAAAAAAGAAAGAGACTTATACCTATTTGGTCACCTATGGCAAAGGTACTGTTACAGTGCAAAAAGGAAATGACAACAAATGGGACTGGATCAACTGGCCGTACATGTGGGAAAAAATGAGTCATGTTCTTTTTCTTACACAATACACTGAAAAAATTTCAGGTGGACTTTTAGAGAAAAACATCTTTCAAAAAAGCATAAAAGAATACCTTCATGGTCCTAAGATAAAGATTTATTAAGCTACAAATAGAGCACCTATCATAAAGGAAAAGCCAGAAAAATTACGAACTTTTCTTCACTGAAAGACATTACTAAAAGATTAAAAATATATACCATGAAGGGGGAGAAGATATTTATTATATATATATATACACACACACACACACACACACATATATATCTCCAAAAAAAGGATTCCTAGGCAAAATATAAAAAGAATTCATGTAAAGCAACAAATAAAGCCACATAAGAAATGGACAAAAGTCACAAATATGAACTTCACTTAAGTGGATATATCAATGATCAATCAATACATTAAAAAGTATTCAACCTCAAGAAATATCAAAGTAATGCACATTAAATCATAATGAGGCACCACTATGCAGCCATGAGAAGGGCGTGTGAAAAATGAAACTACCAAGTGTTAGAGAAGATATGGAGCAATTCAAATCTCACACAGTACTGGTGGGAGTACAAATATATACGATCTCTTGGAAAATCTTAGGCTATGTATACCTATACTATGACTCAGTATTTCCACTCTTAAATACTCAACAAAAATATATACATATATTCACCAAAACACAGTCCAAAAAATTCATCACAGTGTTGTTCATGATTCTTCTAAACTGAAAACAACCCATATGTCCATTAATGTTAGACTGGCTAAACAAATTATGGTATATAGACTTGATCAAGTAGCATACGTAAATAATAGACTACTGCTACATGTGCCCACATAAACGAATCTCACAAACATGAATGAAGGAAGTCAGACACAAAAGAGTAATTGCTCCCTGATTCCCTTTATATTAAGTACAGGCCGGGCGCTGTGGCTCACACCTGTAATCCCAGCACTTTGGGAGGCCGAGGTGGGTGGATCACCTGAGGTCAAGAGTTCAAGGCCAGCCTGGGCAACATGGTGAAACCCCGTCTCTACTAAAAATACAAAAACTAGCTGGGCGTGGTATTGGGTGCCTGTAATCCCAGCTACTCAGGAGGCTGAGGCAGAAGAATTGCTTGAACTCCAGAGGTGGAGATTGCAGTGAGCTGAACTTGCACCATTGTACTCCAACCTGGGTGACAAGAGCGAAACTCCATCTCAGGAAAAAAAAAACAAAAAAACACAAAAGTAGAAATCTGTAGTGATGGGAGTAATAATAGTGGTTGCTTTTAGCGCTATAATGATTGGGAGGGAACACAAAGGAAACGCTGAGGTGCTGGTTATGCTCTGTATCTTGATCTGGACAACGGTTACATTTTGTAAAATTTTATCCAGCTGCATATTTAATACTCTTATACTTTTCTGCATGTGCATTAGAGGCATGTAGGTAAAATCCTTCTGAAAGTGCCAAGTTCTATGCAAACGTGAGGTTTCTATTATTTTGTACTTGCACACATCACAGTAATTCTAATTTCAGGAAAATCAAAAGATGGCACAGGAAGTAAATGAAATGTCCCAGCTGTTAACAATAATTCTATAGTCATAGTAACTAAAAATACCGTCTAAATACTGATTAAAGCAGAAGGGAAGTGTTTGTGTGTCTGTTTAGAGCACCTGTACGTGTGTCTATCTTCCAATGTAGGATAACAGCTATATACATGACATTTATAAATGTGGAGTTAAATAGCAGAATATATAGCTAAAAGAATTTTAATTTCTGCTTCACAGGAGTAGAAATGGAGAGTAGAGGGTGCAGTAGAGAAGGAATTGGCAAATATTTTCTGTAAAGGGCCATTTATTTTAGTATTTTAGTCCTTATGGGCCAGAGGGTCTCTACTGCAACTCCTCATCTCTGTCCTTGTAGTATGAAAGCAGCTGTAGAAAATCTCGAAATAAAGGGCATAGCTGGACTCCAATGAGACTTTTTTTTTCATTAAAAACACCTGGTAGGGTGTAGTTTGCTGACACCTGGAGTAGAGGATGACTAATTTTTATTATAATCCTATTATTATTTAAATTATAACTTATATATTCATTTTAGAATAATAAAATTATCTCAAAGAAAAAAATTACAGTATCCTTAGTAGGTTCTTGGTAACATTTATAGCATTTGTCTTCAAATATTTTTCTCCTGTATCCCTGAAAAATCTTCAGAGAAATACAAATCAAAGCACAATGAGATATCACCTCACATCTGTTAGGATGGCTATTATTTTTTAAAAGACAACGAATGATGGCAAGGATGTAGAGTACCTGGAACCCTTGAGCACTGTTGGTGGAAATGTAAAATGGTGCAGCCTCTACAAAAAACAGTATAGTGGTTCCTCAAAAAAATTAAAAGTAGAACTACTATAGGGTCCAGCAATCTCAATTGTATGTGTTTATCTAAAAGAATTGAAATTGGGGTCTCTTTTTTTATGGATCTTCATTGTTCGGGCATTTTTTTCTTTAAGTTCTGGGGTACATGTGCAGGATGTGCAGGTTTGTTACACAGGTAAATATGTGCCATGGTGGTTCGCTGCACCTATCAACCCATCACCTAGGTGTAGGTATTAAGCCCAGCATGGATTAGCTATTTTTTCTAATTCTCTCCCTCTCCCTGCCACCCGCCGACAGGCCCCAGTGTGTGTTGTTCCCCTCCCTGTGTCTATGAGTTCTCACCATTCAGTTCCCACTTATAAGTGAGAACATGTGGTGTTTGGTTTTCTGTTCCTGTGTTAGTTTGCTGAGAATAATGGCTTCCAGCTTCATCCATGTCCCTGTAAAGGACGTGATCTATTCCTTTTTACAGCTGCATATATTTCATGGTGTGTATGTACCACATTTTCTTTATCCAGTCTATCACTGATGGGCATTAGAGTGGATTCCATGACTTTGCTATTGTGATTAGTGCTGCAATAAACATACATGTGCATGTATCTTCGAATTTACATTCTCATGAGTATATATCCAATAGTGGAATTGCTAAGTCAAGTGGTATTTCTGTTTCTAGGTCTCTGAGGAATCGCCACACTGAATTCCACATGAAATCAGGGTCTTAAAGAGATACTAGCACTTCCATATTTACTGCAGCACTATTCACAGTAGCCAAGACATGGAAACAAATGGAGAGAAAATGTTGTACATACACACAATGGAATACTACTCAGCTTTAAAAAAGATGGAAATCTTGCCATGGTGTGACAATATTGATGAGCCATGAGGACATCATCACTAGTGAAATGAGCCAGTCATGGAAGGACAAATACTGCATGATCTCATTTATATGAAGTACCTTAGGTAATCAAACCCATACAACCAAAGAGTAGAACGGTGGTTGTCAGGGGCTGGGAAGGGGGAAGACACATACGTTGCTGTTCAATAAGTATGAAGTTTCAGCTATGGAGGACGAATATGTTCTAGAGCTATGCTACACACCATCATAACTGTAGCTACCAATACTGTATTGTACACTTAAAAATCTGTTAAGAGGGTAGATCTCATGTTAAATGTTCTTACCATCATAAAAACAAATAAATGTATCCAATAAACTTCAAATTAATTTTTTAAATTAATGCACAGGCTCTTCTTTAATAGAAACACTTTACAAAATTTTATTTTCCTCTTGAAATGCTATTCTATTTCACCTTCCCTATATTTTTATCCTTTGTAAGGTGTTTTTATTATTGTCTTTTATTGATTTTATAAAATATGTCGGCCACAAAAATATTTATATAAATTAAATGTTTAGGTTTTGTAAAATCCCTCTGACAATAAGTCTCTAAGTGTCTAAAAATTACTTTCCTGGGTTATTAGTATCATCAGTAATATATTAATATAATACAATTAATACAACAACTATATTGCAATCTTACAGAGTTATTTTAAACAAAGGGTAAAGATTAATGGAAGTGAATGTCACAATGAAATAACTAGGGCTATTTTTTATATCAATCAGTTCATGTATTCATGGATGAATATTATATATTGCTGAGTACAAATCCTGTTTAATTCATTGTATTTATTGTTGGAAAGCCTCAGAGGCCTTACTCATATTAATAAGTAGATGGGAATGGAAGAAATTTTATAACAATTTCATTTAGTTTTTCAAATTCTTCTTGAGGTATATACCAAATATCATATAATGATGTATCATCAAAATTATTTTTAATGATGTATGAACTGACAATTTGATTAGGTCTTCCTTTAAATCTTTTGAAAGGAAGAATTGGAAATGACTTGATTTGTTAATCAATAAACTCTTTCAGTTTCTGGGAAGTATACCAAAAGGTTTCTCTAAGATTTATGAAATGTGTATTAATTATGCCTGCTTGAGAACCTTTGCATAACCCAATAGATTTGGAAAGAGTTGGAAAAATCATATCATTGATTATTTCAATACACCTTTGTTACAATATTTTTTATTAAAATTTTTAATTTAATCATATGCTTGAATAACTTTTTTTTTCTTTTTGAGACAGAGTCTCACTCTGCCACCAGGCTAGAGTACAGTGGCCTGATCTCGGCTCACTGCAACCCCTGCCTCCTGGGTTGAAGCAATTCTCTGCCTCAGCCTCCCTAGTAGCTGGGATTACAGGCACCCAACACCATGCCGGGCTAATTTTTGTATTTTTAGTAGAGATGGGGTTTCACCATCTTGGCCAGGCTGGTCTTGAACTCCTAACCTCGTGATCCACCTGCCTCAGCCTCCCAAAATGCTGGGATTACAGGCATAAGCCACAGCGCCCAGCCCTGAGTTACTTTTAATAATATCTTTATTGAATCATATGCTTAAATATCTTCCATTCTTTTTTTTTTTTTTTTTTTTTTGAGACAGAGTCTTGCTCTTGTTGCCCAGGCTAGGGTGCAATGGCACGATCTCGGCTCACCGAAGCGTCTGCCTCCTGGGTTCAAGCAATTCTCCTGCCTCAGCCTCCCAAGTAGCTGGTGTTACAGGCATCCACCACCACGCCCAGCTAATTTTTGTATTTTTATTAGAGACGAGGTTTCTCCATGTTAGGCAGGTCTTGAACTGCCGACCTCAGGTGATCCTCCCACCTCGGCCCCTCAAAGTGCTGGGATTACAGGTGTGAGCCACAGCACCCAGCCTCTCCCTTCCTTCCTACTTTCCTCCTCTCCCCTCCCCTCCTCCTCCTCTCCTTTCCTTTCTTTTTCTCCTGTTAATGAACAGCATAAACAACTTTTTGACCCAAATCTTGGAGCTGCAGACTTAGCTCCTTCCATTTGTGGAAAATAGTCTACATACATTCTAATAACAAACTTAGTCCTCCTTGGTCAACAATCAGCCAATCGAACTTTCAGAAAATGTCTGAGTTTATTCTTCAATTTAGGTTCAATTTAGTTAGATTCAATTCAACTCCATTCAAATAAATGTCTTCACATTCATATTAAGAAATGAGAACAAGACAGTGAAAATCAAAATTATATAATGTAATTATTTGTATCATATAAATTTATAAAAATAAGAACACTTATTTCTCATTCCTCAACCTGTTATAATCCAATATACTGTCTATTTAAAATTGCAATTTATTTTGCTTAGCATGACAAGAAAATTAAATAAAAATCACTTATTTTTATTAGAGACTGGGTTTTGCCATGTTGTCCAGGCTGGTCTTGAACTCCTGACTTTAGGTGATCCACCCACCTCGGTCTCCCAAAGCACTGGGATTAAGCCCTTTAGTTTAATTAGGTCCCATTTGTTAATTTTTGTTTTTGTTGCAATTGCTTTTGGCATCTTCATCATGAAATCTTTGCCCGTTCTTATGTCCAGAATGGTATTGCCTAGTTTGTCTTCCAGGGTTTTTATAGTTTTGCATTTTACATTTTATGTCTTTAATTCATCTTTAATTTTTATATATGATGTAAGGAAGGGATCTAGTTTCAGTCTTCTGCATATGACTAGCCAATTATCACAGCATCTTTTATTAAATAGAGAATCATTTCCCCATTGCTTGTTTTCATCAGATTTGTCAAAGATCTGGTAGTTGTAGGTTTGAGGCCCTATTTTTGGGTTCTTTATTTGGTTCCATTGGACCATGCGTCTGTTTTTGTACCAGTGTCATGCTGCTTTGGTTACTGTAGTCCTGTAGTATAGTTTGAAGTCAGGTTATGTGATGCCTCCAGCTTTGTTCTTTTTGTATAGAATTTCCTTGGCTATTTGGGCTCTTCTTTGGTTCTCTATTAATTTTCAAAAAGTTTTTTCTAGCTCTAAAAACTACTAAACTAGTTTTTTAGTAACTCAATGATACTTTAATAGAAATAGCATTAAATCTATAAGTTGGCTTTGGGCAGTATGGCCATTTTAAGGCTATTGATTCTTCCTATCCATGAGCATGGAATGTTTTTTCATTTGTTTGTGTCATCTCTGATTTATTTGAGCAGTGTTTTGTAGTTCTCATTGTAGATATATTTCACCTCCCTGTTTAGCTGTATTCCTAGGTATTTTATTCTTTATGTGGCAATTATGAATGGAATTGCATTCTTGATTTGGCTCTTGGCTTGACTGTTGTTGGTGTACACTAATGTAAGTGATTTTTGTACACTGATTTTGTATCCTGAGACTTTGCTGAAGTTGTTAAACAGCTTAAAGAGATCTCAGGCTGAGACTATGGGGTTTTCTAGATATAGGATCATCTCATCTGCAAACAGGGATAGTTTGACTTCCATTCTTTCTATTTGGAAGCCTTTATTTCTTTCTCTTGCCTGGTTGTTCCGGCCAGGACTTTTGATACTATGTTGAATCGCAGTGGTGAGAGACGGCATCCTTACTGTGTCCTGCTTTTAAAGGGGAATGCTTCCAGCTTTTTCCCATTCACTATGATGTTGGCTGTGGGTTTGTCATATATGGCTCTTATTATTTTGAGGTTCCTTTGATACCTAGTTTATTGAGAGTGTTAAACAGGAAGGGATGTTGAATTTTATCAAAGGCCTTTTCTGCATCTATTGAGATAATCATGTGGTTTTTGTTTTTAGTTCTGTTTACATGATGAATCACATTTATTGATTTGTGTTGATCTGTGTATTTTGAACCAACCTTGCATCCCAGGGATAAAACCTACTTGATAGTGGTGCATAAGCTTTTTGATGTGCTGCTGGATTTGGTTTGCCAGTATTTTGCTGAGGATTTTTGCATCAATGTTCTTCAAGGATATTTGCCTGAATTTTTTTTTTTTGCTGAAAAATCACATTTTTAAAGCTCAGAAATAACATCAATACACTGAATCATCATAATTGTACTTTTCCTACACATATAATGAATGAAAAAAACTATTGCTAAAAGATAATTGGTTGAGCAGTTAGAATATAATTACACTTTTTGGTAATGATAGACTGTTCTTAGAATAATTATATTACAGTATAGTATGATTCTTTTTTGTGTAGCTTTTATAGTACAATTCTTTACCTCATTTGATAAAGTAGGTTTAAAATTCCTTTTTGAATCAAATACATCGATTCTAAAGAATTCATGTAAAAATTTTATCCATGGGTTCTACTCAGTATGAACAGGAATTTTTAATAGTCCCAGAAAAAAAATTCAAGTAACTCTTTTTTTTTTTTTTTTTTAAAGACAGAGTCTTGCTCTGTCACCCAGGCTGGAGTACACAGATCTTGGCTCACTGCAAACTCTGCCTCCCAGGCTCAAGTTATTCTCCAGCCTCAGCTTCCTGAGTAGCTGGGATTACAGCTCAAACTCCTCACCTCAGGTGACCTGCCCGCCTTGGCCTCTCAAAGTGAGATTCGAGTAACTTCTCAGCAAATCAGTCTCACCAAGTTGTATTGCTTCAGATATTGAAAAGTGCATTTCTTTCCTGTTATTATCAAGACCTGGAAATGGGAATTGAGAATAGCTTTTAAAAACTGTTTATATTTAAATATTTGAAGAAAATGTCATTCTTAGTGTTCATTATTTCATACTTGTGATACTGCTTTTTTCTTGGCATTCATAGCCTCTCCCTTAAACAGAAAGGCAGGTATCCTGTATAAGTCAATAAGCTGAAATGGCAGCGGCCCTTGCTTGCGCAAAATCTTTGTCCCACCAGGCCTGGAAGGGGCCCAGGCAATGTGTTTACATCGTCACTACATTTTCATAAAATTTGTAATAGTAAGTTTATCCTTAACTGCTGCTCCTGTAACTTTGACAACCTTCTCTCTATACATCCTGTTGTGCTGGAGTGGTCCTCAGGCTTTTTGGAGGCTGTGACTAAATGGAATGTGAGTTGGAGAATTTTTTTTCCTCTTTTTTAAATGTGTTTTTTATTCTTTCTTCTTTTTTTTTAGTTGGAGATACTTTCACTATGAGTTTAATGGGATATTTTTATACAGTTCATAGTTGTTCAGTCATAACTATTTATACTTTTTTTTTTTTTTTTCAGATGGAGTCTCACTCTGTTGCCAGGCTGGAGTGCAGTGGTGCCATCTCGGCTCACTGGAACCTCTGCCACCTGGATTCAAGTGATTCTTCTCCCTCAGCCTCCCAAGTAGCTGGGACTACAGGCGTGTGCCATCATGCCCAGCTAATTTTTGTACTTTTAGTAGAGATGGGGTTTCACCATGTTGGCCAGGATAGTCTCCATCTCTTGACCTCATGATCCACCCACCTCAGCCTCCCAAAGTGCTGGGATTACAGGCGTGAGCCCCCAGGCCTGGCCCATAACTATTTATACTTCTTACTTTAGTTGTCCTCATATAGAAATATCTTTCAAAATCTGGCCAGGTGTGGTGGCTCACACCTGTAATCCCAGCACTTTGGGAGGCCGAGGCGGGTCGAACGCCTCAGGCCAAGAGTTCGAGACCAGCCTGGCCAACATGGTGAAACCCCATCTCCACTAAAAGCACAAAAATTAGAGGGTGTGGTGGCACTTGCCTGTAATCCCAGCTACTCGGGAGGCTGAGGGAGGAGAATCACTTGAACCCAGGAGTCAGAGGTTGCAGTGAGCCGAGATCGTGCCACTGCAGTCCAGCCTGGGTGACACAGCAAAAACTCCGTCTCAACAAAACAAAACAAAACACAAAATCCTCCCTACTTTACGACATAATGTGAACTTGCAATACCACCAGATGAACTTGTCTGATGAAGCTTGCTACCAGAAATCTGAGGATAGTGTAAGAGAAACCAAGAAACAAATTCTTCCCAATCTTATAGCTCATATTTGAAAGAAACTTTCTAGCAATGGTCTCACAGTTGGTAACAATCCAAAGTAGGGCCACCAGATATTACTGATAATGAGTTATAAAGCTTTCAGAAAGTGTCATAAGTTATCAATACTAAGAAAAAAAATTCAATCATGCTAGAGGAAAGGTTAAATTATCTTTCTCTTCTGTCCATAGAAAATGACAGAATTATTGTCAAAGAAAAAAGCAATCAAAACATGCAGCCAGAATAAGGAGGAAACAATGCTTTTCCATTCAGCTTGTTAATAAAACATGTTATTTTTCTGAACTTTGTGATATCTGCAGCATTTGTAAATATTTTCAAATTGGAAACAAATGTAATTTGTTGAGTGTGTTTTTCTAAATAGTCAAGTTTGTACATAATTTTTCATAGTAATTTTGCATTCTTTTTCATATAGAAGGTTCCTCAAATTAGATAATCTTCAAGATCCTAAACGTGAATAGAGCCCTGCTCAAAGAGCAACGCACCCTTTTCCAATAGCCGGAGGATTGAAGAGGTGAGGTCAGTAAACAAAAATTGCCATCATTCCCACAACTCTCACACCACAAAATATTTAGCTTCAGAATATCTCAAGATGGAGAGGGCACTGCATTTCTAAAATAATCCTTAACAAAAATATGTGTAAGTCAGGGAAAGAATGTAAGGCTTATGGTTTTATGGTGAATTTGATCCTTAAAAGTATAACCTCCCAAGAAATATTTTGAATTTGCTTTTTATTTGCCTTCCTCACTTTTTTAATAACAGCCCAAGAAATGCAGCGCGGGAAGCATCAGGATGGGGAAGAGGATGGCTTTCTTTTATGGATTCCAAGAAGGTTGTGAGAAAAGGGAATATAGGAAAAGTGAACTTGAAGACCTGAAAATCAGTAACTTTGAGATCATTAACTTTAAAATCACCCTAAGCAGTGAATCCCACAGAAAGTCCCTGAATACCTGTGTGGGGAGCTGTCCCCAAGTTGAATCACTCTGCTCTAGAATAGACAAAATGGGGTTTTAAGGCAATAGTGGTCACACACACCCAGCCATAAGCTAGACCTAAGTGTGATGGCCAGCTGGCACTCAATCTGCTTCTGACTCCTTCTCCCTTCCTCTTACTTAGTTTTCCTCTTTTGCACTCTCCCCTTTCATCTTTGGCTTTTTCTTCTACCTATCCCATTTTTCACCCCTCCGGTTTGGCAGCTGTCTCTTTATCCAGCTGTTGTCCTGCTTTTTCTTCCTTTCACTCTCTGATTTATCTTTCCTTCCTATCCTCCCCTTCCTCCTTGCATCCTCATTCTCTTTTTGACAGACATGAATTCAAGTTTTTAAGTTTGTGCAATTTTTAGAGTGGTTTTAGGTTTACAGAAAAATTGTGCAGAATGTACAGAGAGTTCCCATAGCCCATATCCATCCCTCCCTCCCCCTATGTTAACAGCCTGCATTAGTGGGTTACCTTGTTACAGCTGATATGCCAATTCTGAGACATAATTATTAACTAAACCCCACAGTTCATATGAAGGGCGACTCTTTTTGTTGTGTGCTTCTGTGGATTTTGACAAATGTCATGTATCTATGATTACACATTATATAGAACAGTGTCGCTGCCCGAAAAAGTTTCCTATGTTCCATCTCTTCATCACTCGTTCCTTCCCCCTGCAATTACTTTTTCTTAAAAACTAATACCCACAACTTCACCTATGTGGCCATCGACAAAAAACAAAGTTGATTTATCTCCAGGCAGTCTTGTAGGTGTTTAAGAACAGTAACTCATATTCCATTCATTATTTCATTTGATTAGTATAATAATTGTCACCACTTTAGGGATGAATCTATTGAATCTCCGAAAATCCAAATGACTTGTTCAAGGCTATACGACTAATTGAGGATGGGTGTGGATGGAGCCAGTATGCATATTTGCTGATGGTTGACCAATGGTCTCTCCATGCTACCGCTTCTCAATTGCCCTGAGCTTTATCAGAGACGACGGGAGTGTGTTAAGGAGGACACCGATTTGTGGTTCATGACTTTCAAGGATTCTGACAGTCCTCATCTATAATACATTTATCAAAAGGTACAGCTCAAGTGCTCTTATGCAGACTTTGATGATGCACGGAAGCATTTAATAACTTATATCTCTAAAAATTTACTTCATGTGAACTTTTAAATATTATCCTATCATATCATCCCTAGATTAGATTATTTCCTCCTGCCCTCAACCCACCCTCCCAATATTTAGGGGTTTGTTATTCTTAGTAGAGTGCCAGTACCATATATTTTACAATCAAACCAAATTCAAATAGGAACTTCTCAGCACTTTTAGTTTCAACTGCAATCTCTTAGCCATACATTTTTGTTTCATGTTGTTCAGACATTCTGTATACTGCTGATTCACACACAAAGGGTAGCTTTTTGCCCTGGGTAAAGACAGGCTCAGCCGTGCTCGTTTTTTAGTTTTTACTAACACTCTCCATGCGATGCAGAGAGCACAGTTTTGTTTATGCTGACAGCTGTGTGTGAATATTTTTACTATTTTGAGATGTGAACAGGTTGACTTCTTGGGTGTACAGGCAAGAGAGTACATTGTTATTGGCACAGTAGCACTTCCTTGCAGATTAATAATAGATTTTCTTAATTCGGACTTTTTTCAGTGATACTACCAGATCACAAAAGGTATAATAATCATATTTAAGTTCCAAAATTTTTCACCAAATGCAACGATGAAAAAAATGTTAATGTAATTAGTTAAGTGATTACTCATGTAGCAGACAGAAATAAAGGTAGGATATTGCAGGAAATCATATTCGAGCCAGATTCCTTGTCCCAAGTCTCAATTCTGCTTTAAGATAGACACTTTTAGGAGCTGTTCCTTCATTCAAATGACTAGGATACAAGTACATCAGTACTTCAGCTCACTTACTTCAGCTCCCTGAAAGATATCCATTGGTCAATGTATCTTATGTTTTGAAGTTGGACCATGAAAACAATTCAACTTGTTCTACTAGTCATGCAACTTATTTTTAAAGTGTTAATAGGCCTTACTTTTAGAGCAGTTGTAGGACTGTAGAAATACTGCACACAAAGTACAGGGAGTTCCCAGGTACCTCCTCTCCCCCTTGTTACCAAAATGCTAGGGTTTTGGTCTACGTCCTGCTGTTTGCTGCACAGAAAGCCAATCACTGAGACAATGAGTATTGCCAGGGAAGAAGGCTTTATTCTGGTGCTGCAGCTGAAGAAATAGGAGATCAGTCTCAAATCCACCTTATAACCAACTAAAACTAGGGGTTTATATAGCATGGAATAATTGTAACCATTTGTGGGAAAATAGGAGTTAGGGAGGGGTAAGGAAGAGGAGTTGAATCACATGCAATGCGGGTGAGAATGTAAATTAGTTCAGCCACTGTGGAAAGCAGTTTGAAGATTTCTCAAAGAACTTAAAACAGAATTACCATTTGACCCAGCAATGTCATTACTGGGTACATACACAAAGAAAAAGAAATCATTCTACAAAAAAAGATACCTGCACTCATATGTTTCTCACAGCACTATTCACAATAGCAAAGACATAGAATCAACCTAGGTGCCCATCAAGGGTGGATTCAATAAAGAAAATGTGGTACATATACAGTGATACAGTTTCACTGTGTCCCCACCCAAATCTCATCTGGAATTGTAGCTCCCATAATCCCCACATGTCACAGGAGGGACCGAGAGGGAGGTAACTGAATCATGGGGGCGGGTGTTTCCTGTGCTGTTCTCCTGATAGTGAATAAGTCTCATATGATCTGTTGGTTTTATAAAGGGCAGTTCCCCAGCACTTCACCTTGATGCTGCCATGTGAAGAACAACGTGTTTGCTTCCCCTTCCACCATAATCATAAGTTTCCTGGGGCCTCTCCAGCTGTGCTCAACTGTGAGCCAATTAAACCTCTTTTCTTTATAAATTACCCAGTCTCAGGTATGTCTTTCTTAGCAGCATGAGAACAGACTAATACACACACCGTGGAATACTATGCAGCCATGAAAAAGAATGAACTCATGTCTTTGCAGCAACATGGATGCAGCTGGAGGCCATTATCCTAACCAAATTAACGCAGAAACAGAAAACCAAATACTGCATTTTCTCGCTTATAACCGAGACCCAAACATTGGGTACACATGGGCACAAAGGTGGAAACAAAAAACACTGGGGATTCTAAAAATAGGGAGAGAGGAAGGAAGAGGAGAAAGGGTTGAAAAACTGCCTATGAGGAACTATGTTTACTACTTGGGTGACAGAATCATTAGAAGCCCAATATACCCATATAATAAGCCTATACCTGTACCCCCCTGAATCTAAAGTTAAAAATAAACAGACCCACTCACTGCCTTCATAGAGCATACTTTTTCTTAACCATTCGAGATAGCTAATTCATCCACTTTATGCTTTCTCTTATTACCTTCAATTTCAAAAATTACCTTTTTCACTAGGTCTTAAAATTGTGGAAATGGGTGCTATATTTCCTAAGTGCTGCCTTATCATTGAGGAAAATTCGTGAAGTTATATTCTTTCTGCTGAGAAATAAAATAATATAGACCAGACTGTAAGTTTCCTGAGGCCTTCCCAGCCATGCTCAACTGTGAGTCAATTAAACCTCTTTTCTTTACAAATTACCCAGTCTCAGGTATATCTTTATGAGCAGCGTGAGAATGGACTAATGCATACACCGTGGAAATGGGGATATTATTTCTGCTGAGAAACGAAATAGTAAAGGCCAGATTGTAAGTTTCCTGAGGCCTTCCCAGCCATGCTCAACTGTGAGTCAATTAAACCTCTTTTCTTTATAAATTACCCAGCCTCAGTTATGTCTTTATTAGCAGCGTGAAAACGGACAAATACATGGACAAGGAAATGGGGATAAAGTCAACTCAGTTTGACTTCTACTTCCCTAAAAAGGGCAGAGACTCTCATCCCCTTTCTCTTAACTACTGAGTCATCTTGAAATCTAGATAACCACTAGCCGTAAAGTCCCCTAAATAGAAACATACCAAAGCCTGAATAAACCATTGATCTAAAAGCCGGCAAAATCTTCTTTATCCTCACCTATATAACTGGTGTTTGTAACACATTTGCTAAAATTTGTTTAAATTTCTCTGTCTGGAATCATAGTGTTAAGAACAGCGGGTAAAAAGCGTTATGATCTTCACTTGACAGACACTACGTGTTAGAATTTTCGTTAGTAGTACCTTGCTGTAGTAATCAACTGTTAAATTTACCGTTTAAGAAATTACCTTAAAATGTCTACTCTTTAAAACATTGAGATAAATGCTTACTGATGCAATACGCTTCCTTTTTTACTTACAAGAAGAGTTGGGAGTATACAGGATTCAGCAAATTTCTGTAGATACTAGAATTTCGATAATGGAAATAAATTGTCACACAGGGTTCAGTCTCAGGAGAATGTAATTTTGATATACTTTCATTTGGGCTGTATTTGAGCTTATTTTTAGGCAGTGAGTCATTTTGAGTTGAAATATTGTTGTATGCCCCAGGAGGAGATGGTTGCCAAACTCTTGCTTAGGAAAGGAAAACAGCAGCTCATTCACTCATCCAAAGCATAGGGCAAAGAACAAATGCCAACAAAATTGGAGTCTTTTCCCTGGCTTTCATTCATTGATGTGGTTAAACGCAGGCTGCAGTGAGCAAAAAATATCTGATATGATTTTGGAAGGGCAGTAAAGCAGCCAACAAAGACTGTGGTGCTATCCATGATATAGGTCCCTTAATTTTAAAAAATCTAGAGTACTTTTGTCCAATGTAACTTTCTACGAGTATGGAAATATTCTTTCTCTATCAGTGTTGTTCAATATGATAGACACTAGACACATGTGGCTAGAAACCATTTGTAATGTGACAAGTGCAGCTGAGAAACTTAATTTTTAATTTCATTCAATTTAAATTAATTTAAATTTAAATAGCCTTGTCTTGCTGGTGGCTACAGTATTGAACAGGTCTAGAGAGAAAATCATCACTCACAATAGGATTAGCCTTGTGGAGAATAAAGTTACTAAAGACTGACTATATGAAATGAGAAAATAGATTTAAGAGAAACTTGGAGTTAGTAAAAGTGGATATCTATCTCAAAGCATGACAAGCTGGGTTCAAATCTCAGTTCTACTACTCACTGATTTTGTGAACGTCATCAACCTGTTATGCCTTCCGCAGCCTCACTGTCCTACTTTGTAAAACAAATTAATAAATATAGCAGTGCTCAATAAATTCCCCTTTAGGAAAATATAGCATTCTCAGAATATTTTACCCTTAGTAAAAGAAAAAAAAATGGCTAAATAGTTGACATGTGATTTTAAAACACAGTTTGAAGTGAACTTTTTTATCAATAGTAACATAGCTATATGATATTTAGTGAGCCCTTATAATGGGCTTGCCATTCATATTATCTTGTTTTACCCTCATCACAATTGTAATAACTAAGTCTTGGTATCATTCATTCCATCTCACCCATAAGGATATTCAGACCTTGAGAGAGTAAATAATTTGCTCAAGGTCATCCAGCTATTAAGGTGTAAAAACAGAAGTTGAATTCAGGTCTCTACAGTTCCCAAAAAAGTGTTCTTCAGGGCCGGCCATGGTGGCTCACACCTGTAATCTCAGCACTTTGGGAGGTCGAGGTGGGTGGGTCACGAGGTCAGGAGTTCGAGACCAGCCTGACCAACGTGGTAAAACCTCGTCTCTACTAAAAATACAAAAATTAGCCAGGCGTGGTGGCACGCACTTGTAATCTCAGCTACTCGGGAGGCTGAGGCAGGAGAATTGCTTGAACCTGGGAGGCAGAGGTTGCAGTGAGCTGAGATCGTGCCACTGCACTACAGTCTGGGTGACAGTGGAAGACTCCATCTCAAAAAAAAAAAAAGAAAGTGTTTTTCAATAGGTACTGTGCCGTCTTCACACAGTATGGTAGCAAGAACTGTCACATCCGTTTCTGGAAATAAAGTGTACTAAATATTCTGATAAACCCTCCCACTACAAAATACCTAGCATACTAGAAAATATATAACAATCCTCCTGCTAAATGTGTACCTGAGCATGCACACCTGTAAGAGAAACCCCAGTGGTCAAACATGAAGAGAATGCTACAACATAATTGGTAAGTGAAGAAGACCCATGGTTTCTTACATATGACAACTAAAGTACAAAGAAGCACAGAAATTGGATTTCATCAGAATTAAAACTTTTTTATTGCAAGAGACAGGATGAATAAAGTGAGAAAACAACTTACAAAATGGGAGAAAATATTTGTAAACATTAGCTTAATACCCCAAATATACAAGGAAGTCTTACAACTCAACAATAAAAAGACAACCCCATTTTTTAAAATGGACAACAGATTTGAATGCACATTTTTCCAAAGATGATATTCAAATAGCCAATATGCATATGAAAAGATACTCATTATTGTTAGTCACTAGAGAAATGAAAATCAAAACTACGGTGAGTTACCATTTTATACTCACCATATGCCTATAATAAGAAAAGATAGACAATAATAGCTGCAGGCAAGAATGTGGAGAAATTTATACTCTTATACATTGCTGGTAGAAATGTAAAAATAGCGCAGCTCTTTTGTAAAAACAATTTGGTGGTTACTCAAAAGTTAAAGATAGAGTTACCATATGACCCAGCAATTCCACTCCTCAGTATATACTCAAGGGAAATGAAAAATTCTCTATATCCACACAACAGTGTGTATATCTATATTTAAAGCAATACTATTCATAATAAACCGAAAGTGGAAAAAACCCAAATGCCTGTGAACTTATGAATTATTAGACAATACATACTATATTTGCACAGTGGAATATTATTCAGCCATAAAAAAGAATGGCATTTTGATACATTCCACAACATGGATGAACCTTGAAAACATTATGCTAAGTAAAAGAAGCCAGTCATAGAAGACCCTCATTGTACAATTTATTTTGCAGAAAATGCCCAGAATAGGCAAATCCATAGAGATGGAAAGTAGATTCGTGGTTGTATCAAGCAGGGGGATGCGAGGCACGGGAAGTGATGTTAATGGGTGTGAGTTTCTTTTGGGGATGATGAAAACGTTCTGAAATAACACAGTGATGACAGGTATTAGCTTTGTGAAAATACTAAAATTCACTTAATGGTATACTTTAAAGGAGTGAATTCTAAGGTATATGAATTCTATCTCAATAAAAGAAAAATAGAAGTCAATGCCACCTTGAAGAATCTGCTTACTAAGATTTTAATGGAAAGAAAAGACAAAATATTGGTAAATTAAAACTAAGATCTTTGCCTAAAGCCTAGGACATCAAACAGCTAGGGAGGACTAGGAAATACCTACTTAATGGAATTACTTGTGTGTCCCAGAACAGGCAAAGACAAGAAATTGATGCTGGGTTATGGTCCCATGGAATCCTGGCAGAAGAACACACAGCCTCCTGGGAAGAAAGCATCCTCAAGCCAGGCTCTCATGCTCTCCACAGACTAAGACCAGCCAAATTTAAACTCCCAATTTAAAGTTACTGAATACTAAAAGAAATTATCAATGTTGACCAAAAGCCTGCAGAAACAACAAAAAGGCACAATTAGAACCATCAAGAATACCACGTACTGGAATTACCAGACACAGAAATAAGATTAACCATTACAAGATTAAAGTGACCAACATATTTGCAGAAAAATAAAGAAAGAAAGAAAGAAAGAAAGAAATAAGAAAGAAGGAAAAAGAAAGAAAGAAAGAAAAGAAAGAAAGAGAAAAGAAAGAAGGAAGGAAGGAAGAAAGGAAGGAAGGAAACAGTTGAGCTTATAGAAATGGATATGTATATATTCATAAAAATGTAAAAATATGTAACTGGTCATTTAAATCGGATTACTATACCCAAAGAGAAAATTTATTAACTAAAAAAATTATGGGAAAAAATACCTAACGTGCAGCATAGAAATAACAATATAGAGAAAAAAAGAGAGAAAAGAGACATGGAAGATGGAAAAAAATAAAGGTGGAATGCACATCTAATTAGGGTTCAAAAAGGGAGAAACAGAATGAGGATGAGAAAATATTAGTGCATGGCTGAGAATTTTTGAAAACTGATGAGATTTGGGGAGCATAATTATAAAAAAAGAAATTAAAATAATATGGAAGAGAGATTGCCTACAGAAAAGTGACCGTGAGACTGGAAACAGTTGTCTCAACAACAATCACAGGACTGAAGTAACCGACTGATTATTTCAAAGTAAAGGGTAAAAATAACTTTTAATAAAAAATTATCTTCTAAGGCTGGGCACAGTGGCTCATGCCTGTAATCCCACCACTTTCGGAGGCTGAGGTGGGTGGATCGCTTGAGCTCAGGAGTTCCAGACCACCCTGGGCAACATGGTGAAACAGTGTCTTTACCAAAAGATAAAAAAAATTAGCCAGGCGTAGTGGCATGTGCCTGTGGTCCCAGCTATTTGGGAGGCTGAGGTTTGAGGCTTGCTTGAGCTGGGGAGGTGGAGGCTGAAGTGAGTCGAAATTACATAACTGTTGCTCTCCATCCTGGGCAACAGAGCCAGATCCCATCTCAAAAAAAAAAATTCTGTTCCAGTTAGACTATCAATCCAGAACAATGTTGAATAAACATATTTGAGGCAAGCAGAAGCAGGTTTGAATTTCTAATATATGTTCCCTAAAAATTTCACAAGTAAGGTTAAGATGCAAAAAGTATCGGTAAGCAAAGAAATCACTAAACATTTAGGAAAATGAGAGGCATCCATTGCTGGCTTTGCAGTTATGTGGGTCAACAGGCATTCATCAGGTAAGACATTCATGAACTGCCCACGGGACTAAAATTTGCTCCCAATATTATCAATGGATACCCAGAATAGCCTGGGTTTTTAACCATTCCAGCGTGTGTGTGTGCATGTGTGTGTGTATGTTTCTCACGGGCTCAAGAATGCCTAACAATATTTTCATTTTAATTCAATGGTTTTTCTTTGTTCCATTGCCAGAATCATACAGTGAGTTCATCTAACTCTGAATGGGCAGCACCTGCTCTGTTTCACACACAGATTCTACCTACCCGGTGGTATGACCAGTGACAGGTACTTCCAGACCTCTAAAAATCATGTGATCCTAGAATTGCAAATGAATTTACAATTGATGATTCAAGCTTCAGAGATCATGGGAAACAAAGACTTTATTCAAATCCACAGTCTCTTCCTACTGTGAGATAGTGACTGCATTTTAAACTATAACTGAAATTATCACAAACCGCTGGGTTTTAAAAGAGTTAAGCTCTAGACTTGTGATATAGGATATGCAGTCATTAAATTATCTTATTTATTTGCAACCCATAGATTCCATGATTTCTCACAATCAGTAGTTTATTGAAAGTAACAGAACTAAGAGAAGAATTTTGCTCACTGAGTGGGAAAAGCACCTTCCAGAGTCCCCAGAGTTCAAGATAAGGTGTATGCTACTGTGAGTTAAGTTTTCTTTCAACTATAGTCACTGCTGAATTCAGTGGTATCCACCTACAACAAGTTTGTCATCTTTAAGGTAGACAGGAACAAAACAAATGATTAACCCGAGTAGAATTTTTAGCCTCTCAAAAATATGTCAGAAAGGAATATGGTCTAACAGTTGTCTCCATTCTGTGATATAATTTTAGGTAGAAAATAAAATCTTAGAAATTACGTTAACTCTGCTATTGAAAAGATCACCTCACACCATCAACCAGTCAATCAATAAATACCTAAGTACATTTTAAAAATATGCAGGTGAGACTGGCTATTCCAAATCACGAAGATCATTTGGAAGAAGCTGCCTTATTAATAACCTTAGGGTACTTCCCCGACAGTGCCTTTATGCACAGAGCCTTCAAAATACATTGCAAAACATTTATTTTTTATTAGCCTACCATTTGTTTAATTTCTTTTGGCAGTTGTGATTTTTACAGTATAGATGATGTGACCAATTTATGTTTTCCTAATTGGACAGTTAACTATTCTTGTATATATTAATTTTGCACAATGCCTAAATGTTTCCAGAGAACTCTGATGAACTAATTAAATAAACCAACACGTAATCCAATTTATGATTCATGCATCATTCATCTGCTACCGATTCCAATATCCCCTCGCTTCCCTGGTGTGCATGAGTTAGCAGAATATACATGGAGAAAAACAAAGCTATAATAATGCTTTGTATTGGATGTCCTGTGGCTGGCTGATAATTAATATTAGCAGGTTATATTTCCATTAGAGAAAGAGTTATGCGATATTCAGTTGTTTGGCTCAATGCCTTCCATTTTGTGTTTTGAGGCACACTAACTGCAGTTACCCAACTCATGATACTGAAGCCTATCAGTTCCTCCCCGCCCCACTCAATTAGGGGTAGCTAGCCTTCAGTGGGCCGGGTGGGGCGGGGGCGAGGGAAGGAGACCCTGTAACTCTTCTAATTTTTGCAGCTGGAGTGTGAGTCAGTTTAGCCTCTCAGAGACCTGGAAATATAGGCATTTGCTTTCATTCATGCCTCTGTTGAAATCACCCAATTCTTGCAACAAAGATACATTTCCCATACAAGAATAATAGTGTGAAATTCAGAAATATTTTGAAAATCTACTTTGGAAATTTTTATTGTTTTTTTTTTCTTTTTTTTCTTTTTTTTTTTTTTGTTTTTAGCTTTGCTCTATTACCCAGGCTGGAGTATAGGGCCACAATCTTGGCCCACTGCAACCTCTGCCTCCCAGGCTCAAGTGCCTGTCTCAGCCTCCCAAGTAGCTGGGACCACAGGCACAGACCACCATACCTTGCTAATTTTTTGTATTTTTCAGTAGAAATGGGTTTTGCCATGTTGCCCAGGCTGATCTCAAACTCCTGAGCTCAAGTAATCCCCCTGCCTTGGCCTCCCAAAGTGTTGTGATTACATGTGTGAACCACCACACCAGTCCTAGAAATGTTTTACAGGCCTTTAGTGCTATGCAAATATCAGACACATATGAAACAAACTTCATAAGAAGTTTAATATTACTGTCCTGAATTTTGGTTATTGTTCCTAAACCTTTAAGTGTCGAAAGATTCTCTGATGTAACCTTCTAGTCAAACATGTCCCAAGAAGTTATGTTAAAAATAGGGAACTGGGAATACTGGTGATTCTTATCTAATATATTCTACCCAAGGATTAGAGAAAATGTAAAATTACCTTCAATTTTTAAATAGAAAATTTAAAATTACCTATTATTAGAAACACCAATAGGTAAAATTTGCTCATTCTCTTTTGTTTGATTTAAATACTTCCTTACCCAGAACTAAATTAGTTTTGGGCCAAACCAAATTACAAACAAATCTAATCGTCTCTTGTACAGAATAGGTCATCAGGAAGCCTGGGGGAAGCCAAAGTATTGCCATCTGCTGGTTGGTCTTCTGAGGTTTCATGATCTGGCTAGGCTTTTGAAGGTCATGTTCAAAATCTAAATCTCCACAAATAAATTTAGGATTAGAAGGTGAGAAATGACCCATTTTGTTTTATTTTATTAATGTTTATTTCTAGGCCACAGCTTGAAAATCAAAGGTATTTAGGTGAGTCAGAGATATCGTGGCTTTACTAAGTGGTTTGTTCATCTCTCTTCACTGTTAATTTTCTTTTAAATTGCTATGTATTTGAGAGTAGCCAGACCAACAGTGGACAGGGGAGATCAGGGACAGGGGAAGAAAAGAAAAAACTGCTGGCTAGCACCTGTAGGGGGTGACACCACTTATGAGACACATGTCTTGAGGCATTTCAAATGATTCTTGGCAGGTGTATCATAAACAGATCCTCAGCCTATGCCAGGGGGCCTGGCCGTTGTAATTAAAGTTACATTATAAAAAGCTCCTGCTGTTTCCTTCTTCTGAAAAATGCTGACAGAGGTTTCCTCAGACAACTATGACAGTGTTTCCAACACCTCTGCCTATGCTATTCCTGTGGCTGCAAACAACAGCATCCACCTTTACATGAGTTGCAATGCAAATGAGGGAGGCAGTGAGATGCAACCAGCATAATTAGAGATGAGACAGGACAGTGTGCTTTCGGGTCAGGGGTCAGCCTCTGTGGAAAGCGACAAGAAACAGCAAAGCCATTTAGTTAGCTTTTTAAAACTCAAAAGAGAAAGCACTTTTCTGAACTAGGAATAATCTCAGACTATAATATCCTGAGTATGGACAAAGGTCGCCAAAGCTTAGGGATATGAGGCTGTCAGTGTGAGATTCAAAGAGGTAATGCAATTTTATTTCACAGAAAATTTTAGGAATCCGGTAGAGAGCTATCTATCTGGAATGGTTAAATCCCTGGAAATAGAGGAATAAATTAAAATGACCTCTTGAAGAACTTGCAGTCATATAATTATAAATGATAAATGTGTGTAATAATGCTTTGGTACTCTGTATCTAAATTTAATACTCCTAAGAACTAACAATAGTGACAAAAGATAGCAGCTGCTTTGTGGATCAAAATACCAGCTTCCCCTTCACTAGAAGACAATATTAGATACTTTTCTTTAAGTGCAGATGAGATGCTTAAGGAAACGTGGAGGTAATAGCAAATATTATAACTACGTAGGAAAAGCGCACTGAAACTGAAATATTATAAGTAGGCAGGAAAGAGCACTGAAATTTTGTCTTATATATTCTGTCTACCCTCTTCAGTCTTGACATGCCAGCCTACGTAACTTTGGTGAGATTGTCTGCAGACTTATTTTAACTACAGGCTCACAAAATCTCGCCATAAAGGGAATCGTCTTAAATTGTCTAACACAAGCTAGTTACCATCAGATTAAGTTGCCTTAAATAAAAAATGTTTTCATTTAAATAACTAAAACTGCAACATTTCTCCTCTTTCCATTTGCTTATAAAACCCCTTTCGGTGGTCATTCATTCATTTATTCTCACCAAAATGTTTATTGAGTTATTTACCCTGTGCCAGAGACAGATCAAGGTACTGGACATACAAAAGTGAATAAGCCAGACTCAGTTTCCGTCCCCTATAAAATGCAGTTTAGTCAAGAAGTCACATAATAAATAAACAAATCAATAAATAAGTAGGAGGTATAAAAATGAACAAATCAGGACTGCTCTAGGATATTGTCATTCAAAAGTGTATACACACAATTCTGTAATAAATAAGCAATACAGCCTTGTGCAAAAACACCACAGAAGACGTTAAAAAGGATGGCCTTTGACATTTGATTTTCTTTATGTGTAAACTTCCCTTTTTGTAAATTTAAGATAATTTTTACATGAACTTCATGACCAAGGTTCTGTGACAGGAATATTCAGTTTTATAATAAAGAACACAAATTTAGGTTTCTGGAAGTTAGCATACTTTTACCCTATAGAGTTTTAAGAGTTTTAAGCTTTATAGAGTTTTAAGCTTTTCCTCCACCATATCTGGGTCTGTTCTGACTTAGAGCCCCTGGGGCCCCCTGCTGTCTTCAAAGACTATTCATCCTCACTACACAGCATTTGGAGGGGAGACTAAAATTCTAAATATTATTGGAGGGATGATACATTAAAAAGGACAGAAAATATCAAGTGTTTGCAAGGATACGGAGTAACTGGAGCTTCATACTCTGCTAGGAGTGTAGTGTACAACCACTTCGGAAGATTGATTGGCAGAATATTCACATATCCTATGATCTACCAATTTCACCTTTAGTAATACACACAACAAAAAAGAGCATATATGTTCAAGAAAAGACAGATACTAGAATTTTTGTCAGATGAGAAAGTACAGGAAATAAGAAAAAGACAAAAGAATTTTTGTAGCAGCATTGTGTGTAATAGCTAAAGGCTATAAACCTCTCAAATGTCCATCAACTGTTGAATGGATAAATTGTGATAAATTCACAAAATACAACACTACTCAGCAATCAGAAGGAAGAAACTATAGCTCCAAGCAACAATATGGGTAAATGTCACAGATGTAATATTGAGCAAAAACATCCAGGCACTCAAAAAAAGCTAATATAATATGATTCTACTTACATGAAACAGAAAAGGAGGGAATAAGAATTAATGCCAAGAGAAAAGAGAAAACTGGTTACATCTGGGGTCATTGTAACTGGAGGAAAGAAAACAAAAGTTTTGTAGGTCACTGTTACTATTATTTTACTGGGAGCTGGTTACATTGACATTCATTTAAGGAACACTCATCCATATGCGCACTTATATATAACATAAAAGTTTTGTATGCATCAATAAAATATTTCAAGTGAATATTTTTATTAAAAAAATACTAAGAAGCATTAGTATTCCTAGGTCTCCTGGTCTGTCCTAAGAGTTAATACCCTTGGGCCTGCCTGAACCTCATGAAAATCTGCATTCTTCTTCCTACCCTCTGTGAAAACCAACCAATTTTGGAATAATTTGACAAGTTTTTCTTTGTTATTGTCCTTTCTTTATCCCCACCATAGTTCATGCATTCACTTTAAAGTCACACTGTGTAACGATTTACAACTAAAAATCCATTATTTTAATTGACAAGTTTCGATAGCAGATTGCAGCGTGTTGCTATTTCTGCTACTTGCTCGGCAGACAGGAGCACTTTGAGGGCTCTATTAATAGTAGTTTTAGAAATAGCAGGTGAGAAACTCTACTTCTAGGGAATAAATAGTAACTTTGGGATGGAACAACGTTTGGGAATGAGGGGCCAGGGTAAGGTACCATTGCCATCTAAAAGGCCTGCCAATGAAATGAAATTAAATGATGCCTAAAAGCATCTGCAAGCTTGCTTAAAACGGAAAACATTCTCTCATCTCTTCCTCCTTAAGTCCCTTAATGATTTCCCATGATCTTCCTCCATCCAATTTTCCTTCTCTTGGATTTGATTTCAAAGGGTACTCCATGCCATTTCTCTACAGTCCAGCATGGTATTCAAGAGGCCTCCTCCTTGTGTTTGGTAATATTCATTTTAGTAACAAAACTCGCAGTATTCTTTTCATTCTAGTAGCTTAACGTTGAATTACAGTTTCAACTCTACTTAAAAGGATTCCTTTAAGTAGCCTTGTTAAATCATGAATGGAGAAAACTCAGTTTGATGCTATTTTTCGAGCCCCGGATATCCAGCCCCCCACTATCCTTTCTGCCTTCTCCATCAGTTTTCCTGTTTTCTCCAGAATAATTAGAAAGGAGTGATTGAACTCCCGTTTCACTTGAGCTGGCATCCTTGGAAGTTCTTCCCTATGAGGCTAAACATCTGCCTAGGTATTTCCATGTTTCGTTCTGGCTGTGATGTGATGCTGTATAAAATAGATGTCCCAGTAAACTTATTAACAAAACAGCAGCTTGACAGCTGGTATAAGCAGACAACCAGCACACTAAGAGTTCCAATGTATTCTTAGCTTTTCTGCTCTACTGTGGGAGAAAATCTAGTTATACTGGAGCAATTTGAAGGAAGACTCATATCTGAACATTAACACATACTTACCATCTCTTAATTCTAAGGGGTTTAAAGATGGTATGATTGAAAACAGCCAGATATTGCGACAACCTGTATCAACATAGCTTATCTTTTGAGACTAAGAACTGGGACCACCTATGTCAACGTACTTTGGCAGTTTGTTCTAGGAAGATAAAAACCTTAAACAAATACAATACTTCCCTGTTTGCTTCAAGAAACTTGCAAACCAATTTTTCTAGGCTAACAGTTTGCTTGTGTGCACAAATAGCTCTCCTACTGAGACAATAGATCGCTCACTTGAGCAAACAGCTCTTTTCTACTTATTACAACTTGTGAGAAGACTCTTATCTTGCTATATCCACAAATTCTATTTATGCCACGAATTTGTCCAGTCCCAATCAGTTCCCTGCCTTGAAAGACCTGCCTTAATCCACTTGAGCTCAAACCACCAAACCATGTTCCTACTTCTACTCCTGACTTCCTTCTTCTGATAAACTACTAAGACTTTCTTTCTTTCTTCTTTATTTCTCCCTATGTATCCACCTGTTTATTTGCCAGTCTATCCATCTATCCATTCATCTATTCATCTATCAATCCAGCCAGCCAGCCACCTACCTCTCTGTCTATAGATTGATCAATCAGTCGATCTATCTATCTATCGAAATGATGTTCTTTCTTACTCCAGTAAATCTGACAAATTTGGCTTTGCTTGATCAAAGCAAAGTTTTTTTGGTGATCTCCTTGAGAATCTGTAATCGACAAGTAATAAAAAGGAATGTTACTATATTATCGTGGATGGGTTATAAGAATAAAAAGTTGTTATACTAACTATATTGGACACAATCTTAATGAATTCCTTTCTTTCCTACATTTTCGTCTTATTAGTCATAAATATTTTGGATGTTAAAAATTGTGAGATATGTAACTACACCCAGCTTTTTTAAGGGCTTGATTAGAAAGGAAAGAAACTTTGATGCCATAGAAGAATCTGAAATCAAAGGATTTGTGAAGGTGGACCTTAATTAGCATGATTAATCAAAGGATAAATAAAACAGTATTCAGTTTATTTTTACCATACAATTACATTACAGAATTCTTAAGAAAATTAAACCTTTCAATAAAAAAGAAGGCAATCCAACCTTAACTGTAAACTTATTTTTAAAATCCTACTCAGAACTGAGACAAAAAAAGCAATTTATCTGTCAGGTAACACATACTAATAGCTTAATTTAACCTTCAATAAAGTGTAAAAAAAAAACCAGAAAGGTATAATAATAAAGCACAATTATTCTGGAAGCAACAAGACTTCAATTACATCTTTCTCCAGGAAACTCCAGGCTGAAGTGGGGGCAAAGTTTAAGATGATCTCCTGTTCTCACGAATGTCTACATGTAACCCAAGGAGGGAGATATACAACTCCAGTCAGATATAGTCATCTAGTTCCTTATATATGTGGTTGTTCTAGGGTACAAGAATGATTTTGAAGACTTTATACAATTATGATTGAAAAAATAAACGTTTTATCTAAATATTAACTCACTCAATGAATAGTTCTGGGGTTCTTACTCCCTGATCTAGGGAGCCATGATAGTTTATTATTCTTGAAAAGAGTTACTTTTAAAAACTGGTAGATATTTCAACATAAAAGTTTGTTACTAGTATAAATGCACAGAGGCTTTAAGGAAAGATAAAACCAATGTGACTAGAAGGAAAAGTATATTATGCAGAAATTCTACAGCAAAATAACAGGGAAGAAATAGCAAATATGCAACAGCACTAATCGACAATGTCTTTCCATCAATCCCATGGCCTTCTAGCAACCATTTCTTCCCTTGATCCATAGCTCCCAATCCCCGCAGGGCAAGCTGATGGCTTACAAATACTTTAAGTCTGGACCTGCCATTATACCATTGAGATTCAGTAAAAATGTTAAAATTATTTCTATTTCACAATGTCACATTTACCAAGAAATAAGTTACTGTGAAAATATTTTTGAAATGACTGAAATAGATCTTTAGGCTCCCAGATAATGTTTTTGTAGTAGTCCAACTAAGACTCCCATTATATTTTAAAGAGCTAAAAGAATTTAGATTCAAACTGAGTAGGAAAAATTTTTTAGAAATCTCAGAGCCAAAATAATAATAATAGGAGTAGGTTACATGCAGAAAATGTAACCTGTCTACATGCACAGAAACTTGTTTGAACACATCAGCTCCAGATTTTTTTTTCTTGGAATCAATTTGTTGACTTGCTTAGAGAAATAATTAACTCAGGGCCTTGCTTTGCTTGGGCTATAAAGTTGTGCTTTAATAATGCCTGCATGTTGAAAACTTCTACACACCCAAGTGTTCTTGGTGTATACGTTGCTTCTACTTTTGGTGATGTTTCAGAAGTTACAAAGCAATCTTCAAGGAAAAAAGTCAAGAGTTTAAGGAACAAATGAGATGGCAAAAAATTGCTCTAAAATTTTTCATATGTATTTCTCCTTTATTATCCTTAAAAGTACACACAAACAGTCAAGACCTTTCAAATATCTGCTTTTTTATACTCATCCTAGCCCTCATAGAACATGCTGTTGTTTTGACCCTTTCATACACGTCCAGCTCACTGTGATTAACTTACATATTTTCTACTGGTTTTCCTGACATTGGTCGTGAATTCACATCAACCCCACCACACTTGACATGATGGTTGAGTGAGAGTCAAAAAGACAATATGTAGTCAAGGGTCCCATCCACAACCTTGGAATCATTAGCTCATGTGTGACAGATCACACTTATCCACATGGAGAAATAAAGAGGTAATATCTGCCTGAGCTTTCTCTTTTATAGGAGGTAAACTATTTTAAAACATAGTATTACTCTTTATCACTTTTCTCTACTTTGAAATCTCTGAGACATTCTACTGTTTCTGCTGGACAAATAAAATATGCTGCTTCCAAGAACATAGACTAAACACAGATTGTGATCCTTAGCTGTTTGTTTCTCACCCTATCTTTACATCCCATAGTTTCTCTTTCTTCAATTCATACAATTAACAACAACAACAAAAAACTAAAACACAATACCCAGTAGAAGTTTACAGTTACTTTTATAGCTTTGTTTCTTTTAAAATGTAATTCTTAGGTCAATGTCCACATTTTTCCATGTACAGTGCAAAGATGCTATCAGACAAGGCATTTTGGTACTAATCCCAAGTGTCTCCCACATCCAGTGCAGAGCCACGTTTTTCTTGACCTTAAAAATTTTGACTGTTTATGCAAGGGTTTGTTTCTGGGCTCTCTGCCACATGACATTGTTCTATGTGTCTGTCTTACGGCCAGTAACACACCATTTTGATTACTGTAGCTTCGTAATAAGCTTTAACAGTGCTAGTCCATCAACTTTTTTCTTCTTTTTCAAGACTATTGTGGCCATTTGGAGTCCCTTGGGATTCCATATGAAATTTAAGAGGTTTTTTTTTTTTTTTTATTTTATCTCTAGCATTGGATTTCTGGAATTTCTATTTCTGGAATTTTTCTACTTCTAGAATTTCAACATTATTGATATTTTGATAGTTACTGCATTATATTCACAGATTACTTTGGGTCATCTTAACAATAGTAAGTCTTCCAGGCCACAAACATGAAATGCCTTTCCATTCATGTCTTTAATCCCTTTCAGCAATATTTTATAGTTTTTTGTGTACAATTATTTTGTCTCCTTGGTCAAGTTAATTCTTAAGTATTTTATTGATTTGATGCTATTGTAAATGAAATTGATTTCTAAATTTCCTTTTTGAATTGTTCATTGGTCATATATAGAAATGCAGCTGATATGTGTGTTGATTTTGAATTCTGCTACTTTGCTCAGTTTATTTTCTCTAACTTTTTTTTGTGGAATCTTTGGGGTTTTGTAAGATTATGTCATCTGTGAATGGAGGTAATTTTACTTTCTTTCCACTTTGGATGTCTTTTTTGTTTCCTTTTCTTTCCTAATTGTTTTGACTATAACTTCCAGTGCTTTTTTTTTTTTTTTTTTTTTTTTTTTTTTTTTTTTAGTAGAAAGGTACAAATGGCATCCTTTCCTAGTTCCTAAATTTAGGGAAAAATATTTAGCCTTCAGTACCACTGAGTATGGTACTAGCTGTGTGTTTTGCACATATGTCCTTCATAACACTAAATAAGTTTCTATACCTAGTTTATTAAGTGTATTATGGAAGAGTTTAGAATTTTGTCAACTGTTATTTCTGCATCAATTGAAATAATCATATGGTTTTTCCATTTCATTTTGTTAATGTGATGTATTACATCAATTGATTTCATATTTGAACCATCCATGCTTTACAACAATAAATCCCACTTGGTCATGATGTGTAATCCTTTTAATATGCTACTGAATTCAGTTTGCTAGTATTTTGTTAAAATTTTTTGACTCAATATTCATAAGGGGTATGGGACTCCCATAACGCATATGCTGGTCTTCTTGATTATGTTCCACAAGTCCTTTAGCATCTGTTCATTTTGCTTCATTCTTTTATTTCTGCTCTTCAGATCTGATCATTTCAATTACTTAATCTTTGAGTTTGTTAATTCTTTATTCTGCCTTCTCAAATCTGCTTTGAATCTTTGAATTCCTCTAGTCAACTTTTTATTTCTGTTAATGTGATTTTTAGTTCCAGAATTTATGTTTGGTTCCTTTTTATAATTTTTATCTTTTTTTACTCATATTCTCATTTTGTTCATACATTAATTTTCTGATTTCCTTTAGTTCTTTGTCCACGTTTTCCTTTAGGTCTTTTGACATATTTAAGAGAGTTGTTTTAAGGTCTTACCTAGTAAATCCAATGCCTAGGATGCCTCAGGGACTGTTTGTGTCAGAATCAACATTTTGCTCTTTTGAATGAGTCGTATTTTCCCATTTCTTTTCATGTCTTGTCATTTATTGCTGAAAACTGGGCATTTGACCATTATAATGTAGCAACTGTGGGAATTAAGTTATCTTCCTTCTCCAGGATTTGCTGAGGGGTTTTGTTTTTCTTTTTTGTTTTCTTTGTTTTTGACTGTCAAAGGCTATAGTGATCTTCCTGTTTTGAGCCTTTTCCAGAAAATTTTTGCAAAGACTGTTAGTTTTAATGTGAAGTGTTTCCTTTAGCTCATGCTAATAGTTTGACAAAGATTTCCTTGCTTGAACATTAGGAGAAAAAAAAAAAAGAAGGAAGAGAAAAAAAGAAAGAAAATCTCTTTCGGTCTTTGCGGATTGCCTCTCTATCAGGGTACTTCTTCAATACTTAGCTAGGCTTCTCTGAACCTAGGAATCAACCTGAAGTGAAAGCTTCAATTCTTCTCAGGTCTTTTCTGAGTATGCATGTTACCCTGGGAATGTACATAGCTGTATTAGTCAGGGTTCTCTAGACGGACAGAACTAATGGAACAGATATATATAAGGGGGAGTTTATTAAGTATTAATTCACATAATCCGAAGGCCTCACAATATGCAATCTGCAGACTGAGGAGTAAGGAGAACCAGTCCGAGTTTCAAAACTGAAGAACTTAGAGTCTGCTGTTCCAGGGCAGGAAGCATCCAGTACACGAGAAACATGTAGGCTGGGAGGCTAAGCCAGTCTCTCTTTTCACATTTTTCTGCCTGCTTATATTCTAGCCATGCTGGCAGCAGATTAGACTGTGCACACCCAGATTAAGGATGGGTCTGCCCTTCCCAGCTCACTGACTCAAATGTTAATATCCTTTGGCAACACCCTCATAGACACACCCAGGATTAATACTTTGTATCCTTCAATCCAGTCAAGTTGACACTCAGTATTAACCATCACAAGACCACCCCTTGTCAACTTGAACCCATACACATCTCCTGACATCATCATAATCTTCAAATAAAGACAATAATAAAGTCATAATTATACCTAACATAATACAGCTATCCTTCATATGACCAGAAACGCACCAATCCCCAACCCAAATACTATTACATAAAGTTAACAATACTTAAATGCTGATATGAAGTCAATAAATCGTATTCCACATCATAAAGAAGGAAATAAAAGGAAGATATTTTCTTAGTACAAGTGTATACATGCACAAAAACATGTTTTTAACAAAAGAAGAAGGAAATACGACAATTACAGTCCTCATTTCTGCAGCTGGTCACATGGTCATAGCTGGTATTGATGACTATCTTCTTCTATTACCCATTCTGTATTCCCTTTGCCTTCAGCAAGCACCTCAGCCTGTCATGGTGATTTTCCTGGTGGAGTGACCCAAACCTTCATTCCTGAAGGGTCTGGGTCATTTATATTCCTGCCTGGATTGGGGTGTTGTAGTCTCCCATTGACTTTAATCGCAGGGCATGGTAATACTAAGAGATGCCCTAATGGATCTCCTGTAGTCCATGCATACTCTTCCTTACCTTCATTGTGGAATAGTAGGCTGATTTAATCTTGATAGTCTGGGTCGATCACCTCAGCCAGTACTGTAACTCTCTTCTTAACCTGTTGACTTAAAGGTAGGAGGAGCCCAAAGTGTCCAGGAGGCCATCTGAACTTCCAGTTTAATGGAATCATTGTTGCGTCTCCTGGTGGCAGTGTTCCTCCCTCTGGAACTAAGACCTCTAGGCCAGCAGAACGTAATGTCACAGGAACAGGAAGCAAAAATTTTGCTAGTGGATCATGAGGGGTGATGGTGGGTGGTGCCACTTCCACTTCCACCCCTTGCTTCCTGTACTGCTGAATCCTGGCTGTGGGAGAAACAGTACCATATATTGGATGCTGATTCAGAGCATACATGGCCTTATGGAGAACTGTGCCTGAGCCCTGCAAAGTAATGTCACCTAATTAGCATTGTAATTTTGACTTCAAAAGGCCATTCCACCATTCTAGCAATCCAGCTGTTTCAGGATCATGGGGAATATGATAAGACCAGTGAATTCCATGAGCATGGACCCACTGCCACACTTCTTTAGCCATAAAGTGAGTGCCTTGATCGGAGGCAATGCTGTGTGGAATAGCATGACGGTGGATGAAGCATTCCATGAATCCATGGATGGTAGTCTAGGCAGAAGCATCGCATGCAATGCTTAGGCATGCAACGGATAGGCAAACCTATATCAGGAGTAACTGTCTATTCCAGTGATGACGAACTTCTGCCCTTTCCATGATAGAAGAGGTCCAGTATAATCAACCTGCCACCAGGCAGCTGGCTGATAACCCTGAGGATTGGTGCCACATCGAGGGTTCAGCGTTGCTTTCTGCTGCTGGCAAACTGGGCACTCAGCAGTGACCATAGCCAGGTCAGCATTGGTGAGCAGAAGTCCATGTTGCTGAGTCCATATGTAACCTCCATCCCTGCCACCCTGGCCATTTTTTTCATGGGGCCATTGGAAGATGACAGAGGTGGCTGGGGAAAGAGGCTGAGTGGTGACCACAGAACGAGTCATTCGATCCACTTGATTATTTAAATTCTCCTCTGCTGAGGTCACCCGTTGGTGAGCACTCACATGGGATACAAACATCTTTATAGTTTTTGATCACTCAGACAGGTACATCTGCATACCTCCTCGCCAAATTTCTTTGTCACCAATTTTTCTATCATGCTTCTTTGAAATCCCTGACCATCCAGCCAAACCACTGGATACAGCCAATCAATCAGTATGTAATTGTACATCTGGCCATTTCTCCTTCTACGTAAAATGCACGACCAGGTACACTGCTCAAAGTTCTGCCCACTGGGAAGATTTCACTTCACGCTATCCTTCAATGATGTCCTAGAAAGGGTCCAGGCGCAGTGGTTTTTGCCTGTAATCCCAGCACTTTGGGAGGCTGAGGTGGACAGATCACAAAGTCAGGAGTTCGAGATCAGCCTGGCGAATATGGTGAAACCCCATCTCTACTAAAAATACAAAAATTAGCTTGCATGGCCAGGCGTGGTGGCTCACGCCTGTAATCCCAGAACTTTGGGAGGCTGAGGCAAGGCGGATCACCTGAGGTCAGGAGTTTGAGATCAGCCTGGCCAACATGTTTAAACCCTGTCTCTACTAAAAATACAAAAATTAGCCTGGCGTGGTGGCAGGCACCTGTAGTCCCAGCTACTCGGGAAGCTGAGGCAGGAGAATCCCCTGAATCTGGGAGGTGGAGGTTGCAGTGAGCCGAGATCATGCCACTGCACTCCAGTCTGGGTGACAGACCCAGACTCCATCTCAAAAAAAAAAAGGAAAAAAGAAAGAGGGCTACAGTCCTGCAGCTATCCACTTTCAGGTGGTGCCTGCATATCATGCAGAACCATCTGTGAACCAGGCCCTAGTCTTCTCTTCCTCTGTCAACTGATCATACGGAACTCCCCATGAGGCCATTGGTGCAGGCTGTGGAAAGAAGGCAGGATGGGAGGAAGAGTGGAGACCATGGGTATGTGAGCCACTTGCTCATGTAACTTACTTGTGCCTTCAGGAACTGCTCCAGCCCGATCGCGTATATACCACTTCCACTTGATAATGGAATGTTGCTGTGCATGACGCACTTTATGGCTAGATGGGTTAGAAAGCACTCAGTTCATGATAGGCAGTTCAGGTCACATGGTGACTTCATGACCCATAGTCAAATGTTCAGTTTCCACCAAAGCCCGGTAACGTGGCAAGAGCTGTCACTCAAAAGGAGACTAGTTATCTGCAGAAGAGGGCAGGGTCTTGCTCTAAAATGCTAGAGGCCTCTGCTGTGATTCATCTATAGGGGTCTGCCAAAGGCTCCAAACAGCATTTTTATATGCCACTGACACCTCAAGCACCATTGGATCTGCTGGGTTGTATGGCCCAAATGGCAGAGCAGCTTACACAGTAGCCTGGACCTGTTGCAGTGCCTTCCCCTTTTCTGGACCCCACTCAAAACTGGCAGCCTTTCAGGTTACTTCATAAATGGGCTGGAGTAACACACTCAAAATCCAAATAGGCCTACTAGGCATTGTGCCTCCATCTCGGTTGTAGGAGGGGCCAAATGCAGCAACTTATCCTTCACCTTAGAAGGAATATCTCGACCAGCCCCACACCACTGGACCCCTAGAAATTTTACTGAGGTAGGAGTTCCCAGAATTTTAGTCAGACGTATTTCCCATCCTCTGGCATGCAAATGTCTCTCTAGTAAGTCCAGTGTGTTTGCTACTTCTTGCTCACTGGATCCAACCAGCATAATGTCATCAATGTAATGGACCAGTGTGATACCTTACAGAAGTGAAAAGCAATCAAGGTCTCTCCTAATAAGATTATGACACCAATTTGGAGAGTTGATGTATCCTTGAGGTGGGGCAGTGAAGGTATATTGCTGGCCTTGCCAGCTGAAGGCAAATTGCTTCTAGTGGCCCTTATGGGCAGGAATGGAGATAAAAGGCATTTGCCAAGTCAGTGGCTGCATACCAGGTACCAGGAGATGTGTTAATTCACTCAAGCAATGAAACCGTATCTGGTACAGCAGCTGCAACTGAAGTCACCACTTGGTTATGCTTACAATAATCCACTGTCATTCTCCAAGATCCATCCGTCTTCTGCACAGGCCAAATGGGAGAACTGAATGGGGATGTGGGGGGAATCACCACCCCTGCATCTTTCAAGTCCTTCATGGTGGCACTAATCTCTGCAGTCCCTCTAGGGATGCAATGTTGTTTATGGTTTACTATTTTTCGAGGTAGAGGCAGCTCTAATGGCTTCCTTTTAGCCTTTCCCACCATTATAGCCCTCATCCTACCAGCCAGGGAGCCAATGTGAGGGTAGTGCCAGCTGTGAAGTATGTCCATGCCAATTACGCATTCTGGCACTGGGAAAATGGCCACATGATGAGTCCGGGGATGCAATGGACCCACCGCAAGTCGGACCTGAGTTAAAACTACATTAATCACTGGACTTCCATAAGCCGCTACTTTAACTGGAGGACCACAGTGATGTTTGGGGTCCCCTAGGATTAATGTTAGCTCAGAGTCAGTGTCCAGTAGTCCCTGAAAGGTCTGATCATTCCCCTTTCCTCAATGCAGTTACCCTGGTAAAAGGCCAGAGGTCTCCTTGGGGAAGGATGGGAGAAAGAGTCACTGCATAAATTGTTGGTAATGTAGTGGGGTCCTTCCTCAAGGGGACCAGCCTCCCCATTCATTCAAGGGGTTCTGGGTCTGTAAACTGGCTCAATTCTGTAAATTGAGGGGCCATGATTCTCTGTTTATATAATTCAAATTAGTCTTTTGTCCATTTGACCTAGAAGTTTTCTGCTTGTATAAATTAAGAAAGAATGCAGTAGGCTTCCTATCAATTTCACTTCCAGGAACATCATGATAAATGAGCCAATGCCAGAGCTCTAAATGAGTCAGACTATTCTGATTGCTGCTTTGCCTCTGCTGTCCAATATGGTAGCTTCACCAACCTTACCTTTGATGGTTGAGTGCCGCCACTTGGCCCCTGCCACTTCGAGATCCAATTATTCCCATTGCATTTAAATTTTGTAGCTGAGTGAGTGCAGTTTCCACTGTTAGATCTGACATACAGAGAAGAGCAAATACAGGGCTGTTCAAAGATTCAGGTGCTGCCCTCACAAATCTATTTCACAAGGCATAGGTCAAGGGTATATCTTCTGCACCCTCCCAGCTGGGATGAATAGGTCTAAAGTGACTAATTCACTCCACCATCTCAATCTCCCTAAGTCTTTGGATCCCTTCTTCTATATTAAACCAAGGGAGATCAGGCATTTCCAGCTCGCTCACAGTGGAACATTTTCTAATCCATATTTCAGCTAACCAAGCAAATAAACTATTAGAACCTTTTTTTAACTCCCGAGCTGCAGCATTAAATACAGACTCCCTAGTTAGTGGGCCCAAATCAATAAATTTAGCCTGATCCAACTCTGTGTTCCTTCCACCATCATCTCATACCCTTAATAACCATTCCCATGCCTGTTCTCCAGATTTCCGTTTATATAAATAAGAAAACTCAAGCAGCTTTTTTCTAGTGTAGGCACATCTCCTCACGGGTCACACTCCCAACCTCACCTCTAGGGGCCCATCTGGGACTTTAGTTATAGGTCAAGAAGCAAACAGGGGTGTTAGGGGTGGCTCCTGAGGAGAATCAGCATTATCTTGCCTAGCAACTGCCTCAGGGGAGGCCATCACTGCTGTCTCAGGAAGCACAGGATTTATCTCCTCAGACAAATGTGGAAAGGCTGACTGCAGCATGGGTCGGGGAGGGGATTTTGCCACTACTGGGGGTGGGGAAGCTGTTTCTTCTGGCAAAAAAATTTCATCAGAGTTTACAAACTCAGCATCCCCAGCTTCATCAGGGTCCTCCCACATGTCCCCATTCCAAGTTGCAGGGTCCCATTCTTTTCCAATCAATGCCCTCACTTTAACAGTAGACACCTGCCGAGGCTGTGCATGCACCTTTTGTTTCAGGTCAGCCACTTGCATCATAAGAGAATGTCCCTGTTTTTCCACCATTTCAGCTTTTTCTCTACAGGTGATGAGACTCTCATTCAAGGCAATCTTAGCAGATTTGAAGCTCAGTATCTGCTTCTGAAGCTGGGAGACAGAATTCCTGAGTTCATCATTTTCTTTCATCACTTTGCCCATGGAACTTAGGAGCAAACAATCAGCTTCATTATGCTCCTCAGTTCTCCACATATGGTCAAAGGTATTATGTATAGAGCCACTAAACTCCTCGCCTCTCATAAGTGATGAATCAGGTTCAGGAGTGTCAAATGCATTTATTTTGCATAACTTTTTAAACAGTTCATGCCAAGGACTATTGGTGTTCTCCATACTATTAGAAGCAGACTCCTTAGGATTTTTGGTCTAATAATATTAAGCAGCCAACTCCAGAAACCCCAAAACCAGCAAAAGAATGTCATCCGTAATATTCTGTTCCTCTAGAACCCCTCCTGGTATCAAAATCTGTATTAGTCAGGGTTCTCTGGAGGGACAGAACTGACAGAAGATATATATTCCATTAGTTTACATTTTCTTAAATTATACTTCAAGTTCTAGGGTACATGTGCATTACGTGCAGGTTTGTTACATAGATATACATGTGTCATGTTGGTTGGTTGCACCCATTAACTCGTCATTTACATTAGGTATTTCTCCTAATGCTATCCCTCCCCCAGCCCCCCACCCCATGAAAAGCCCCAGTGTGTGATGTTCCCCTTCCTGTGTCCATGTGTTCTCATTGTTCAATTCCCACCTATGAGTGAGAACATGCACTGTTTGGTTTTTTGTCCTTGCGATAGTTTGCTGAGAATGATGGTTTCCAGCTTCATCCATGTCCCTACAAAGGACATGAACTCATCATTTTTTATGGCTGCATAGTATTCCATGGTGTATATGTGCCACATTTTCTTAATCCAGTCTATCATTGACGGACATATGGGTTGGTTCCAAGTCTTTGCTATTGTGAATAGTGCCGCAATAAACATACGTGTGCATGTGTCTTTATAGCAGCATGATTTATAATCCTTTGGGTATATACCCAGTAATGGGATCACTTGGTCAAATGGTATTTCTAGTTCTAGATCCCTGAGGAATCACCACACTGTCTTCCACAATGGTTGAACTAGTTTACAGTCCCACCAACAGTGTAAAAGTGTTCCTATTTCTCCACATCCTCTCCAGCACCTGTTGTTTCCTGACTTTTTAATGATCGCCATTCTAACTGGTGTGAGATGGTATCTCATTGTGGTTTTGATTTGCATTTCTCTGATGGCCAGTGATGATGAGTATTTTTTCATGTGTCTTTTGCCTGCCTAAATGTCTTCTTTTGAGAAGTGTCTGTTCATAACCTTTGCCCACTTTTTGATGGGGTTGTTTTTTTCTTGTAAATTTAAGTTCTTTGTAGATTCTGGATATTAGCCCTTTGTCAGATGAGTAGATTGCAAAAATTTTCTCCCATTCTGTAGGTTGCCTGTTTACTCTTACAGCAGTTTCTTTTCCTGTGCAGAAACTCTTTAGTTTAATTAGATTCCATTTGTCAATTTTGGCTTTTGTTGCCATTGCTTTTGGTGTTTTAGACATGAAGTCCTTGCCCACGTCTATGTCCTGAATGGTATTGCCTAGGTTTTCTTCTGGGGTTTTTATGGTTTTAGGTCTAATGTTTAAGTCTTTAATCCATCTTGAATTAATTTTTGTATAGGGTGTAAGGAAGGGATCCTGTTTCAGCTTTCTACATATGGCTAGCCAGTTTTCCCAGCACCATTTATTAAATAGGGAATCCTTTCCCCATTGCTTGTTTTTGTCAGGTTTGTCAAAGATCAGATGGTTATAGATGTGTGGTATTATTTCTGAGGGCTCTGCTCTGTTCCATTGGTCTATATCTCTGCTTTGGTACCAGTACTATGCTGTTTCAGTTACTGTAGCCTTGTAGTATAGTTTGAAGTCAGGTAGCGTGATGCCTCCAACTTTGTTCTTTATGCTTAGGATTGTCTTGGCTATGCGGTCTCTTTTTTGCTTCCATATGAACTTTAAAGTAGTTTTTTTCCAATTCTGTGGAAAAAGTCATTGGTAGCTTGATGGGATGGCATTGAATCTATAAATTACCTTGGGCAGTATGGCCATTTTCATGATATTGGTTCTTCTTATCCATGAGCATGGAATGTTCTTCCATCTGTTTGTGTCCTCTTTTATTTCGTTGAGCAGTGGTTTGTAGTTCTCCTTGAAGAGGTCCTTCACATCCCTTGTAACTGGGATTCCTAGGAATTTTATTCTCTTTGTAGCAATTGTGAATGGAAGTTCACTCATGATTTGGCTCTCTGTTTGTCTGTTATTGGTATATAAGAATGCTTGTGATTTTTGCACACTGATTTTGTATTCTGAGACTATGCTGAAGTTGCTTATCAGCTTAAGGAGATTTTGGGCTGAGATGATGGGGTTTTCTAGATATACAATCATGTCATCTGCAAACAGGGACAATTTGACTTCCTCTTTTCCTAATTGAATACCTTTTATTTCTTTCTCTGCCTGATTGCCCTGGCCAGAACTTCCAACACTGTGTTGAATAGGAGTGGTGAGAGAGGTCATCCCTTTCTTGTGCCAGTAATCAAAGGGAATGCTTCCAGTTTTTGTCCATTCAGTACGATGTTGCCTGTGGGTTTGTCATAAATAGCTCTTATTATTTTGAGATATGTTCCATCAATACCTAGTTTATTGAGAGTTTTTAGCATGAAGAGCTGTTGAATTGTGTCAAAGGCCTTTTCTGCATCTATTGAGATAATCTTGTGGTTTTTGTGATTGATTCTGTTTATGTGATGGATTATGTTTACTGATTTGCATATGTTGAACCAGCCTTGCATCCCAGGGATGAAGCCCACCTGTTCATCGTGGATAAGCTTTTTGATGTGCTGCTGGATTCGGTTTGCCAGTATTTATTGAGGATACTGGCATCGATGTTCATCTGGGAAATTGGTCTAAAATTCTCTTGTTTTGTTGTGTCTCTGCCAGGCTTTGGTACCAGGATGATGCTGGCCTCATAAAATGAGTTAGGGAAAACTCCCTCTTTTTCTATTGATTGGAATAGTTTCAGAAGGAATGGTACCATCTCCTCCTTGTATGTCTGGTAGAATTCGGCTGTGAATCCTTCTGGTCCTGGACTTTTTTTGGTTGGTAGGCTGTTAATTATTGCCTCAATTTCAGAGCCTGTTATTGGTCTATTCAGAGATTCAACTTCTTCCTGGTTTAGTCTTGGGAGGGTGTATGTATCCAGGAATTCATTCATTTCTTCTACATTTTCTAGTTTATTTGCGTAGAGGTGTTTATAGTATTCTCTGATGGTAGTTTGTATTTCTGTGGGATTGGTGGTGATATCCCCTTTATCATTTTTTATTGCATCTATTTGATTCTTCTCTCTTTTCTTCTTTATTAGTCTTGCTAGCGGTCTATCAATTTTGTTGATCTTTTCAAAAAACCAGCTCCTGGATTCATTGATTTTTTTGAAGGGTTTTTTGTAACTCTATCTCCTTCAGTTCTGCTCTGTTCTTAGTTATTTCTTGTTTTCTCTAGCTTTTGAATTTGTTTGTTCTTGCTTCTCTAGTTCTTTTAATTGTGATATTAGGATGTCGATTTTAGACCTTTCCTGCTTTCTCTTATGGGCATTTAGTGCTATAAATTTCCCTCTACACACGGCTTTAAATGTGTCCCAGAGATTCTGGTATGTTGTGTCTTTGTTCTCATTGGCTTCAAAGAACATCTTTATTTCTGCCTTCCTTTTGTAATTTACCCAGTAGTCATTCAGGAGCAGGTTGTTCAGTTTCCATGTAGTTGTGCAGTTTCGAGTGAGTTTCTTAATCCTGAGTTCCAGTTTGCTTGCACTGTGTTCTAAGAAACAGTTTGTTGTGATTTCTGTTCTTTTACTTTTGCTGAGGAGTGCTTTACTTCCAACTATGTGGTCAATTTCAGAATAAGTGCCATGTGGTGCTGTGAAGAATGTGTATATTCTGATGATTTGGGGTGGAGAGTTCTGCAGATGTCTATTAGGTCTGCTTGGTGCAGAGCTGAGTTCAAGTCCTGGATATCCTTGCTAACTTTCTGTCTCGTTGATCTGTCTAATATTGACAGTGGAGTGTGAAAGTCTCCCATTATTATTGTGTGGGAGTCTAAGTCTCTTTGTAGGTCACTCAGGACTCACTTTATGAATCTGTGTGCTCCTGTATTCGGTGCATATATATTTAGGATAGTTAGCTCTTCTTGTTGAATTGATCCCTTTACCATTATGTAATGGCCTTCCTTGTCTCTTTTAATCTTTATTGGTTTAAAGTCTGTTTTATCTGAGACTAGGATTGCAACCCCTGCTTTTTTTTGTTTTCCATTTGCTTGGTAGATCTTCCTCCATCCCTTTATTTTGAGCCTACGTGTGTCTCTGCACTTGAGATGGGTCTCCTGAATACAGCACACTGATGGGTCTTGACTCTTTATCCAATTTGCCAGTCTGTGTCTTTTAATTGGGGGCATTTAGCCCATTTACATTTAAGGTTAATATTGTTATGTGTGAATTTGATCCTGTCATTATGATGTTAGCTGGTTATTTTTCTCATTAGTTGATGCAGTTTCTTCCTAGCATCAATGGTCTTTACAATTTGGCATGTTTTTCCAGTGGCTAGTACCGGTTGTCCCTTTCCATGTTTAGCGCTTCCTTCAGGAGCTCTTTTAGGGCAGGCCTGGTGGTGACAAAATCTCTCCACATTTGCTTGTCTGTAAAGAATTTTATTTCTCCTTCACTTATGAAGCTTAATTTGGCTGGATATGAAATTCTGGGTTGAAAATTCTTTTCTTTAAGAATGTTGAATATCAGCCCCCACTCTCTTCTGGCTTGTAGAGTTTCTGCCAAGAGATCCGCTGTTAGTCTGATGGGCTTCCCTTTGTGGGTAACTTGACCTTTCTCTCTGGCTGCCCTTAACATTTTTTCCTTCATTTCAACCTTGGTGAATCTGACAATTATGTGTCTTGGGGTTGCTCTTCTCAATGAGCATCTTTATTGTGTTCTCTGTATTTCCTGAATTTGAATGTTGGCCTACCTTGCTAAATTGGGGAAGTTCTCCTGGATAATATCCTGAAGAGTGTTTTCCAACTTGGTTCCATTCTCCACATCACTTTCAGGTACACCAATCAGACATAGATTTGGTCTTTTCACATAGTCCCATATTTCTTGGAGGCTCTGCTCATTTCTTTTCACTGTTTTTTCTGTAAACTTCTCTTATTGCTTTATTTCATTAATTTGATCTTCAATCACTGATACCTTTTCTTCCACTTCATCAAATAGGCTACTGAAGATTGTCCATGCATCATGTAGTTCTCGTGCCATGGTTTTCAGCTCCATCAGGTCATTTAAGGACTTCTCTGCATTGGTTATTCTAGTTAGCCATTCATCCAATCTTTTTTCAAGGTTTTTAGCTTCCTTGCGAAGGGTTCAAACATCCTCCTTTAACTCGCAGAGGTTTGTTATTACCAACCTTCTGAAGCCTACTACTGTCATCTTGTCAAAGTCATTCTCCAACCAGCTTTGTTCCATTGCTGGTGAGGAGCTGTGATCCTTCGAAGGAGAAGAGTCACTCTGGTTTTTAGAATTTTCAGCTTCTCTTCTCTGGTTTCTCTCCATCTTTGTGGTTTTATCTAGCTTTGTTCCTTGACGTTGGTGACCTGCAGATGGGGTTTTGGTGCAGATGTCCTTTTTGTTGATGTCGATGCTATTCCTTTCTGTTAGTTTTCCTTCTAACAGTCAGGTCCCTCAGCTGCAGGTCTGTTGGAGTTTGCTGGAGGTCCGCTCCAGGTGCTATTTGCCTGGGTATCACCAGCGGAGGCTGCAGAACAGCAAATATTGCAGAATATCAAATATTGCTGCCTGATCCTTCCTCTGGAAACTTCATCCTAGAGGGCCACCCACCTATATGAGGTGTCAGTTGGCCCCTATTGGGAGGTGTCTCCCAGTTAGGCTACATGGGGGTCAGGGACCAACTTGAGAAGGCAGTCTGCCCATTCTCAGAGCTCAAACGCCATGCTGGGAGAACCACTGCTCTCTTCAGAGCTGTCAGACAGGGACGTTTAAGTCTGCAGAAGTTTCCACTGCCTTTTGTTCACCTATGCCCTGCCCCTAGAGGTGGATTCAAAAGAGGTGGCAGGCCTTGCTAGCTGTGGTGGGCTCTGCCCAGTTCGAGCTTCCCTGGCTGCTTTGTTTACCTGTTCAAGCCTCAGAAATGGCAGACACCCCTCCCCCTGCCAGGCTGCTGCCTTGCAGGTTGATCTCAGACTGCGAAGCCAGCAGTGAGCAAGGCTCCATGGGCGTGGGACCTGCCAAGCCAGGCATGGGATATAATCTGCTGGTGTGCTGTTTGCTAAGACCGTTGGAAAAGCACTGTATTTAGGCAGGAGTGTTCCGTTTTTCCAGGTACAGTCTATCACAGCTTCCCTTGGCTAGGAAAGGGAAATCCCCTGACCCCTTGTGCTTCCCAGGTGACGTGATGCCCTACCCTGGTTCAGCTCACACTCCATGGGCTGCACCCACTGTCCAACCAGTATCAATGAGATGAACCAGGTACCTCAGTTGGAAATGCAGAAATCACACATCTTCTAGGTCAATCACACTGGGAGCTGCAGGCCAGAGCTGTTCCTATTCGGTCATCTTCTAGCATACATATTATATATATGCTATGTATTTTATATATCTGGGAGGAGAGGGGGTAATATTACATATATAATTTTATATATATATATATATATATATATATACATATATATATATATATATATATATGTATGTACACACAAAAAGGGGAGTTTACTAAATATTAACTCACACGACCACAAGGTCCCACAATAGGCCATCTGCAGGCTGAGGAACAAGGAGAGCCAGTCCGAGTTCCAAAACTGAAGAACTTGGAGTCTGATGTTCAAGGGCAGCAAGCATCCAGCAGGGGAGAAAGATCGAGGTTGGGAGGCTAGGCCAGTCTCTCTTTTCACATTCTTCTGCCTGCTTATATTCTAGCCATGCTGGCAACTAATTAAATTGTGCCCACCCAGATTAAAGGTAGGTCTGCCTTTCCCAGCCCACAGCCTCAAATGTTAATCTCCTTTCCTCTCAGACACACCCAGGATCAATACTTTGTATCCTTCAATCAAGTTGACACTTAGAATTAACCATCACAATAGTTTTTAAAATTCACCTATACAGCTTCTTTTGAAGGTCCTCGTTTCTCAAAATGCCTTACCCAAGCTTCTCTTCTGAGCCTTAGATGGTGTATTCTATGCCTTCATCTATAACCTCTTGCCTGAGCTATCTGTTTTACCTGCAGTACCTGTTGCTTTTTTCACCTGAGCTCCAAATTAGCTAAAAAACTTAAGTGCCTTGCCTCATTGATTCAGGTATTCCCCAGAGAGGTTAGAACATACATACACCAAAGTTTGTAAATAATGTTTGCTATTCTTTTTCCTGTCCAAGGGAAGGAGCTGGTAACTGGACTGCTAGCTACATCAAGACAAGCAGCACTGCCATGCCAGGGAGAGAATGGGGCCGGGGTGAGTTAAAACTCTACAAAACAAGCTTACTATTTTGAAGATGGTTTCTTCTTGGTTGGGTGTTCTCTTGGTTGCTGTAAACTTTTGATGTTTTCCAAAACTCCAACAAAGTTGTTTTTGCTATTTACTACTTGATTTTTAGTGTTTCTGTGGTAGAATACGAGCTTGAAACATCATAGTTCATCATTCTGCTATTATCGCAAGCTCCTATGTCCTTTTAATAAACTCCAATTATCACCGATAGCATTGTTTTATTTTTGCAGGTGTTAATCTCATCTTGAGCATTTTCTCCTTCAGACCTGGTAGCAGTGATTTCTATAATAAGCTGTGGTTCTTTTCAGTGGGAAATGGTATTTAGAGAATAAAATCTGATTCCTAGAGGGTGCTCATTTTACTGAGTTGTTATTGATTCTAGGGCATTTTTAGTGGACAGAGATAAAAAATGTGTAATTTTACAGCAATAAATACAGATCAGAAGTCTATACTGATATTTCCATTTCAAAAATTTGATTACAGATTTCTAATGTAACTTTCTATAATATTATTATTGTATCTGTATTCTCTTCAACTTAGTATTTTGGTTCCAAAAATATGAACAAATTTCCTGCTTATTTTATCCTACAATAACTTCAAAAGAGAACAAAAATGATGCATTTTAAAGTCATTGGAGGTTATTATAGCAATTTTATAAACATCTAGTCCATTCCTTTTAGTTTATTTTCACTTTATAGAAATTGTTTCTCTTCTTTTATAAAAATTGTATTGAATTTTGTGAAATGTCTTTTAAAATCTATGGAGATATTTATATTTTTCTCTTTAAATCAATACTATAAATTATATAAATATATTTTCTAATAATGAGCTGTTCTTGTAGTCCTGGAATGAACTACAATATTCTTTTATTACACTGTGAATTGTTTTTGCTAATGTTTTATTTAATCCTTTATATCAGCATTTTTAAGTGAAAGTGATCTGTAAAGTTTTTTTAAATGCAATCTGTCATGTTTCATATTAATATTAGCCTCATAAAAAGACTTGGGAATTTTCCCCTTTTTCTAAGAACCAATGATTTAACATGTAAATTATCTATATTTGTTTATTCTTCTTCAGAATCACCCTACCGTCTTTATGTCTTACCTCCATTTTCTCCCATCTTTGAAAGTTAATTACTTTTCATATTAATTGCCTTCTCATTTTCTCTTGCATTCTGAAAGTCTTTTCAATCTAGTCTCTATATCACTTATATATTTTTAAATTCTCTGCAGTTTCTGTTTCTATGCTTCCTAGCTTCTATTACGTTTACCTCCTCCTCTGCCTTTCTATCCTCTTCATATTTTTTCTTACCTCTTTCTTTGTGTCTCTTTTGAGAAAACTCATTTTTTATTGTGTTCTAAGGCATTATCATTTTAGCTTTGATTAACTGTATCACAAAATCAAGTTTTCTTACATTTTATTAAGAACTCAGAGCAGATTCACTTTTAAAATTAATTATTTTCTTGTGGTTAATCATTTCTCCATTTATAACCATCCTATGGATCTTTGTTTTTATTTTTTATGTTGCAGCATGTTTTCATGAGCTCTATAATGATTTTTATTTATCCACCCTTAGAAGAGGAAAAGTGTTTCCAGCCTAGGGATTTGCCTACAAGCAGGGTTAATTGTTTTTCTTGTTCCCCCTTACTATCTACCAAGATTTTAGTTTGGAGGATTTTTTTAAATGATAAACTGTCATTGTGTTTGTGACACAACATTTTGAGGCAGGTGGATAGGAAGCTGGAGCCCTGGATATCCATAAAACGTTATTTGGTAAACAGAAAGCTAAACAAAATGTATATACACTTACAAAAGAGTTAATTTGAACAGAAACCACAACTTACAATGAATAAATTGTATAAGCACAGCCTGTTCTACCAGCCTCATCTAGTGTCCCAGGTGATTGATGACTTGCTTGTAGTAATATTTGTTAGGCTTTCCCACTGTAATGTTACCCACACATGCTATCATCTGTCGGGGAAAGTCACTCTGCCCATCCCACATTTGAGGAGTGACAAGTCAAGCTGCCTCTCCTTGAGGACCACTGTCTACATGTATTATTTGGAATTATTTCACATGAGAGATTTGTCTCACCATCCTCATTTATTTATGGATGTAATCATTAATTTACATCAGTGTGGATTCATGGATATTTATTTTATACTTTGGGTTATAAACTAATACTACTATATCTTTTTGGAATTTTTTGTTTCTTTTTGCTCAAATTATTCCAGCTTTGGCTATTGGGTGCTCTTTCAGTTGGCTGCTGTGTTTCTTTGATATGCCCCCATTATTGTGGATTTTTTTCTTTTTAGTATTTTCTTACTTTCTTATACTGTAAGATTCTCCAGGCTCATCTTGTACACTTCCTACCCCAATCCCAGAACAAGTTATTTCTTCAAGGAGCTATAGTTTCTTTTATTGGACAATGGCATTAGAAACAAAGATCTTGGCCAGGCATGGTGGCTACCACCTGTACCCAGCACTTTGGGAGGCCAAGATGGGCAGACTGCTTGAGCCCAGATGTTCAAGACAAGCCTGGGCAACATGGCAAGAACCCGAGCTCTAAATAAAAATTAATTTTTTAGAAAATTTCAAGCATGGTGGCACATACCTGTGGTCCCAGCTACTCGGGAGGCTGAGGTAGGAGGATTTTTGAGCCCAGGAGGCAGAGGCTGCAGTGAGCCATGTTCATGCCACTGCACTCCAGCCTGGGTGACAGAGCAAGACCCTGTCACAAAAAAAAAAAAGAAAGAAAGAAAGAAAGGAAGGAAGGAAAGAAAGAAAGAAAGAAAGAAAGAAAGAAAGAAAGAAAGAAAGAAAGAAAGAAAGAAAGAAAGAAGGAAGGAAGGAAAAGAAACAGAAACTAAGATCTTAAGATCTGCATATTAGGGTGTGCTTGTTACAGCTGAGACCTCAGCTGACAGAACAAGGAAATATATGTGTATAGTCTGACCTGTCTAGACACAAATATCTATAAATATTCTTATACATAATAATTTATATCTATATTAAGCTAAACGTGAGTTCACATTGATGCCTTCAACTCTAATCAATTATCACATGGATCATTCTAGCTTCCTACCCGAGCTTATGTGTAAATTTCCACTCCTGAGGTGTCTTTTTGATACATCACTTATTCCAGGTTTATAAAAGAGCCATTTCTGGCCTCTTTCCTGATGCTGCTGCCTGCCATGAATCTATAGGAAACCACGACAGTCTACTTGTACAGTCACTGCTCAAATCCTGAGCCCTTTGGTACAGATGATTTCAATGAAAACTGATAATTAGTTTGGAGTGAATTCTGTGTGATCTATTTCCAGGCTCTCCAGTGGCCCACCCTTGTCTTTAGTCCCCAGAGTATGCTGACAGTAATCTCCTATTAGAAAGTACTCTGCTGATTTCTGAAATCCTGTTCTAATTTCTCAGGAAAAATTGTCTCTTGGGATCTATCTGAAACCTTTGTTTGCTGGGTTAGACACTAGCGATTGTGTTACGATCATAACCAAATGATACCTATTTCACGTGTCATTAGACTTAAAGAAGAATGGAGTCGGGCTATTTTCTTTGTCTACAAGTGTCCAGAAACACTTTTCCTCTGGTATGGGCTACAATAATGGAACAGGAATAGGAGAAGAGCCTTCTCTGTAATGATCGAGCTTGAAATAAGCCTAAATGAAAGGCAAACACGTGCTACTGAAATATTAGCTCATTGACCTTGGAAGTGGAAATAACAAGGTTGGACACATGCCCAGATTTATTCTGAGAAGCTACATTCAAATTTCAATGCAGTTCCTATTTAATAAAGAGAAAAACGCATGTGGGAAAAAAACATCATCCCTCCATTTTAATGTATATTATTAGTTGGAGTTTCAGCTCTTTTTCCTTTGCCTCTCTGCCAGCTAATCACAGTAGCTACTGGTTTCCTACTTCCTAAATTACATTTCTCTTTTTCTCGGCATATGATTACCTTTGCCAGATTTCCCTCATGCTTCTCTCATGTAGTTTATCTTGACATCAACTATGTCTCGTTGTCTGGTCTTTCTGATGAACAATGCCTTTGCTCTACTTCCTCAGAGTTAATTCTACTTTTAAAGCAAGAACTCCTCTTGCATCCCCAAGATGTAAGTGAGTAAGTGCTTGCCACCCTGCCACCTTGCTTAGTTTGGAAAGATATTATGCTCCCTAATCTTCTGCTTTGTTGCAACATACCATGTGGCTTTTGCTAATGTTGAAAGTAACAATGTGTTTTTAATCTAATTTACTAATGTGGAACAGCTTTCTTCTGAATCACAGTGGTGTAACCATTGACAACCGGGGCTTTGGCTCACATTGGGTGTGAGTGCGTAGGATCAGAAAATAAAATTTTCCAGTATCTCGCTCTCCCAATTTAATCCTCATCAATCTTAGTGAATTAATTAGCAAGTAGTAAAGTGATGCTATAGCAGTAAATGTTTATGAACAATTATGTGGTCTCTTTGAACACTTTTTATCCAAAAAGACACACCATTAGGTTCAACCAGGATTTTGTTGTTGCTCTCACCTTTTATATTGAATTATTTTAAACTTTGTGCACACAGAACAAGTGGTAGTTCAAACCTTTCTTCTTCAAGTCCTCGATAACACTCTGTTATTACTCCTTATTCATCTGACACTCTTTTTCCTTTTCCCTCTAGATCTATGTTCTTATGCTACATTTCAAGGGAGAGTTGCTTAATATTATTTCCAAAGTAAATAACCTTCTATCTTCACTGTTTCTGTTATGGGCTCTTTTCTCTGGCATCTATAGCATTTCTCGCTCCTCTTTTCTGCTTTGAAATAAGCTCAAACCTCTCTCAGTTTGAGGCGGGAAAGCATGACCATTTTGAACTTTCCTGCTTATTCTTATTCTCCTTGTGTTCAAAGACAGTTTCTTACAACACAGTTTTCTATTCCTCTCTATTCATTCTCTTTTTAGTATCCTGAAATACGACTTACCACCTCATCACTAGGCTGATAATATTCTTGCATAGGTCACCAATGGCCTTATCAAGAGAATAAAGAAAACAAAGATATTTGCTTAATATATGTTTACATAGACACAAATATATTGATAACAAAATAGGAAAGAACTATAATTATAGTCTTCATCTCTGTAACTGATCATACAGTTGTAGTTGGTATGTATAATTACATTTTTCTACTACCCATTCCATATTTCCTTTGCCTTCAGCAAACACCTCAGCCCTCAGCTTGTCATGGTTCTTTGCCCCTGGAATGACCCAACAACTTTATTCCTGAAGGGTCTGGGCCATTAGTAGGATACCTGGGTTGGGCTGGCGTAGCTTTCCATTCACCTCAACCATAGGGGACAGTAATTCTAAGGGATGTCCTAAGGGATCTTGTGTCTCCTAGGCATATTCTTCCTTACTTCTGTTGTGGAAGAGCAGTCCAATTTCCCCCTTGGAATTCCAAATTAATCACCCCAGCCAACACTGTCACTCCCTTTTTAGCCTGTTGACTCAGAGACACGAGGAGTCCAAAGCAGCCTACTGGCAGTCTTAACTTCCAGTCCCATGAAATCAGTATTCCGTCACCTGTTGAAAACATTCCTTGCTCTAGATTTAACACCTCTAGGTCAGCAGAGCATAAAGTTGTGGGAACAGGAAGCAAAAATTGCTAATGAGCCACTAGGGGTAACAATGAGTGGTGCCATTGCCATTTCTCCCCCGTGATTCCTGGACCCATGAATCCTGGACCCATGAATCCTGGCTAACAGAGAAACATATCTAAGATACTGACTCAGAGCATCTTTCTGCACAATCTTGCCCCAGCCTGAAAAATATTGCCATGTAGCTGGCACTGCAAATGAGTCTTCAAAAAGCCATTCCACTGTTCTAGCAGACCAGCTGTTTCAAGACAGTACAGAACATAACATAGCAAGGCCAGCAAATTCCATGAGCATGAGCCCATTGCTGCGTTTTTTTCTGTTGTTGTTGTTTTTTTTTTTTTTTTTTTTTCCTATAAAGTGAGTTTCTTCTTAAGAAATAATGCTGTATATAAAAACATGACGGTGGATAAGACATTTTGTAAGTCCACAGATGGTAGTTTTGTCAGAATTATTGCATACAGAGAAGGCAAATTTATATCCAGAGTAAATATCTGTTTCAGTAAGGACAAAACACTGCCCCTTTCATGGTGGCAGTGATCCAATACAATCAACCCACCCCCAGGTTAGCTGGATGATCACCTTGGGCAATTGTGCCACATTGGGAGGTCTCAGTGTTGATCTCTGCTGTTGGCAGATTTGACCCCTCAGCAGTGGCCAAAGCCAAGTCAGTTTTGATGAGTGAAAGTCTATGTTGCTGAGCCCTTACATAACCTCTGTCCCTGCAACCATGGCCCTTTGGATCATGACAGACGTGGCTGGGGAAAGAAGCAGGAGGTATCCATAAAATAGGTCATCTTATTGACTTGATTGTTAAAATCCTTCTCTGGTGAGGTCATCCTCTGGTAAGCATTCATGTGGGACACAAATATCCATGTTTTTTGCCCATTCAGAGAGTTCTAGCCACATACCTCTTCCCTAGACTTCTCTGCCACTTATTGTTCCATCGTGTTTCTTTCCTAAACATCTAGCCAAACCATTGACTACTGAGCATGAGTTGGTATATAATTGCTCATCCAGCCATTTCCAGCCATTTCCAAGCAAAGTGCACAACCGGATGCACCACCCAAAGTTCTGCCCACAGGGAGGATTTCTCTTCACCACTGTCCCTCAAGGATGCCCCAGAGAAGGGCTCTACAGCCCTCTGCAGCTGTCCACTTCTGGGTAGTGCCTACATATTGTGCAGAACCATCTGTAAACTAGGCTACAAACTTCTCTTTCTTTGTCAACTGGTCATAGGGAACTCCCCATGCATTCACAGGCTGCGAGAGAGAAGGCAGTGTAGCAGGAGTGGGAACCATAGACATTTGGGCCACTTCTTCATGCAACTTACTTGTGCTTTTGGGACCTGCTCAGACCTGACCATTTATATGTCACTTCCACTTGAAGACATGCTGCTGTGCATGCCCAACCTTATGACTTGTTGGGTCAGATAACGTACAGTTCAGGTCTCATGATTCTTTGGTGGCCCATGATCAAGCAGTCAGTGTTTGGCCTTCACCACAATAGCCCTCACTCCACAGGTCATGGAAACAATGTAAGGATTGAAGAGTATGTTTATCCCAAGTATACATTCTGGAATTGGTGAGTGAAATAACCACAGGATGGGTTTAGAGACCCTCTAGACCCACTGTAGGACATGCCTGAGCTTAAAATCCATTGATTACCTGACCTCTATAAGCCCCTACTCTGATTGGAGGGTCAGATGATGATTTGGGTCTCCTGAAACTAGTCAGTTAAGGCTTCGTAGCAAGCCAAGAGCTGTCTCTTGAAAGTATTTTTAAATCTGCAGATGATGTCAGGGCCTCACTTCCAAATCCTAAAAGTCTGTGCTGCATTTCACCCACAGGTGCCAGCCAAAGGCACCAAACAGCATCCCTACCTATGACTGATACTTTAAGCCCCATCATATCTGTGGGGTCACGTGGCCCAAGTGGCAGAGCAGCTGGCATAGCAGCATGGACCTGTTGCAGAACTTTCTCTCGTTCTGGGCCCCACTCAAAACTAGCAGCTGTTTGGGTCACTTGGTAAACGGGCTGGAGCAACAGAGCCAAATGAGGAATATGATGCCTCTGAAAACCAGTGAGGCTCAATAGGCATTGTGTCTCTTTCTTGGTTGTAGGAGGGACCAGATGCAACAACTTATCTTTCACCTTAGAAGGAATATCTCACATGTGCCACACCACTGGACCCATACAAATTTCACTTATGTAAAAGGTCACTACATTTTAATTCAGTTTATTTGCCACCCTTTAGCATGCAAATATCTTACCAATAAGTCTAGAGTAGTTGCTACTTCTTACTCACTAGGTCCAATCAGCATAATGTCATCAATGTAATGCGCCAGTGTGATATCCATCTGAAGAGAAAGGCAGTCAAGATTCCTGCGAACTGGTCTTCAACCTGTTTCCTGGTATACAAATTCTAAAATCCTTAGGCTCTCTAAAGTGATGTCTTTTGTATGCTAATGAGTTGACTGATGGCTGGCAGCCCCTAGGCAGCTTCAGGATAGGGGCTGGTTACTGGAAAAAGCAAGGCATGATTACAGGATTGGGACTTTCAGCCCAACCTCTGGCTGGGAAAGAGAGTCTGAAGGTTAAGCTGATCATCAATGGCCATTGAGTTAATCAGTCATGCCTACCTAATGTAGCCTCCGTAAAACCCCAAAGGGACAGGTTCAGAGAGCTTCCAAATAGATGAGCATGAGGAGGTTCCTGGAGAATACCACTCCTGCCTGGGAGGGTATGGAAGCACCACGCCCCTTTCCATACCTTGTCCTATGCATCTCTTCATCTGTGACCTTTGTAATATCCTTTCTAATAAACCAGTAAGTGTTTTAGAAAACACCTCTGTGAACTAAATTATTACATAGAGATGAAGAATTGATATACCCTTGAGGTAGGACAGTGAAGGTGTATTGCTGACCCTGCCAGTTGAGAGCAAATGGCTTCTGGAGGACTTTATGGAAAGGTATAGGAAAAAAAGGCATTTTTCAGATCAATATCTGTGTACCACATACCAGGGAATGCATTCATTTGTTCAAGCAATGAAAGCACGTCTGCTTCAGCGGCTGCAATTGGAGTCATAACTTGTTCAAGCTTAGAATAATCCACTATCATTCTCCAAGTTCCATCTGTCTTCTGCACAGGCCAAATGGGAGAGTTGAATGGGGATGTGGTGGGAGTCACCAACCCTGCACCTTTCAAGTTTTTGATGGTGGCACTAATCTCTTGATTTGCATTGGACCTAACACCTCTAGGCCAGCAGAGCATAAAGTTGTGGGAACAGAAAGTAAAAAATTTGCTAGAAGGTCACTAGGAATAACAGTGAGTGGTGTCACTCCTATTTCCACCTTTTGATTCCTGGACCCATGAAACCCGGCTATCAGAAAAAAACATACCATATATAGGATGCCAATTCAGAATATCCTTCTGGACAATCTTACCCAAGCCCTGCAAGGTACTGCCATGTAGCTAGCACTGTAATTGAATCATGGGCCACCAAAGAATCATGTGATCTGAATTGTATGTTATCTGACCCAACAAGTCATAAATTTGGCCACGTACATCAGTACTCCTTCATCAAATGGAAGTGGTATGTAAGTAATAAGGCCTGAGCAGGTCTTGAAGGCACAAGTAAGTTGCATGAAGAAGTAGCTCAAATGCCTATGGTCCCCACTCTTGCTACCCTGCCTTCTCTCTCCCAGCCTGCACCTATGGCTGCATGAGGAGTTTCCTGCCAGTAGACAAAAGAAGAGAAGACCAGAACCTGCTTTACAGATGGTTCTACACTCCCTCCAGGAATGCTATAACGTTTTTGATTTACTATTTTCCTGAGGAGGCAGTTCCAGTGGCTTTTACTTGGCCTTCACCACAATAATAGCCCTCAATCCAAAGGTCATGGAAACAATGTAAGGATTGCGGAATATGTCTATCCCAAGTATACATTCTGGAATTGGTGAAATAACCACAGGATGGGTTGGAGACCCTCTAGCTCTACTGTGGGGCAGACCTGAGCTTACAATCCATTCATTACCTGACCTCTATAAGCCCCAATTCTGACTGGAGGGTCAAATGATGATTTGGATCTCCTGGAACTAGTCAGTTTGTAGCCAGTGCCTAGTAGTCCTGAAAATGTCTCATTATTTTCTTTGCCTAAATGCAGTCCCTGGCAAAAATAGGTAAATTTGGGGAAAAGTGGGAAAAAGATGAATAGTATGTACATTTATCAGTAGTATATCAGAGACTTTCCTCAAGGGCACCTTTCCTTCTCTTCATTCAAGTGATTCTGTGTCTGTAAACTGGCTCAAGTCTGAGAATTCATTAAGGGGCTATGACTCTCTGTTTTTATGATTCAAGTTATACTTTTGCCCACCTGACCTAGAACTTTTCTGCTTATACAGATTATGTAAGAATTTAGTAGGCTTGGTATCTGTTGTGGTTAATACTGATTGTCAACTTGATTGCACTGAAGGATGCAAAATATTGCTCCTGGGTGTGTCTGTGAGGGTGTTGCCGAAGGAGATTAACATTTGAGTCAGTGGACTGGGAGAGGCAGACTCACCCTCAGTTTGGGTGGGTACCATCTAATTAGCTGCCAGCATGGCCAGAATAAAAACAGGCAGAAGAATGAGGAAAGACTAGACTGGTTCAGTCTTCTGGCCTCTATCTTTCTCCTGTGCTGGATGCTTCCTGCCCTCAAACATTGGACCCCAGGTTCTTCAGGTTTGGGACTCAGACTGGCTTTCTTGATCCTCAGCTTGCAGATGGCCTACTGTGAGACCTCACCTTGTGATTGTGTGAGTCAGTACTCCTTAATAAACTCATATATATATATATATATATATATATACACACACACACACACACACACACACACACACACATACATCTATCCTATTAGCTCTGTCCCTCTAGAGAACCCTGACTAATACAATATCTATTTCATTTCTAGGAACACTGTGATTAACTGCTCAACACCATAGGTCTGACCAAGTCAGACTATTCTGATTACTACTTTCGCCCTGCTGTCCATTATTAATGACACTGACCTTGCTCCTGGCAGTTCAGTGCTACTATTTATTCTCTGGCATCCCAAGGTCCAATCACTTTCATTGCATTTAAGTTTTCTAATTGAGTAGCTGAGGTTGAGACAGGCAGGTTGGTTGATTCCCTATTTTAAGATGGTCTGGAGGAAAAGGATAAAAGCCCCTCACTGAAACTCTAGCTTATCTCTCAGACAGTCACTAACAAGAGACCCAAGAGACTATTAACCACAAGCTTCTATTTCAGAGGGCTAGGGATTTCCCCAGAGCTCTGCATGCACAGCTAGACTTAAACTCCAACCTAAAGTTACCTCTTCATCATTTTAATGCCTCCTCATTTTCATGCCCAGGGTAGCGATTTAAAATGCTAATGTTACATACAATGTATGAAGAAGCATGTTGACCACCATGCAAGTGTTAGAAAAGCTCCTCCTGTACATGTACCTGCTGATGTAAGCTTTCCCTATGGAAAGACCTTATAAAACTAACTCACATACTGTCCTTGGGGAACAGTTCACTTGTTTTTCCTTTCTCAGGGCTAGCTCCCTTGTGCACAAGGTGGAATAAACTTAAACTTAATGTTTGCTGCTTGTGTTCAGTGATCTCTTTTGATTTCTATCCTGGGAGAGTGCAAGAACCTGGGGTTACCACTGAAATGTCTGACCTACAGAGAACAGCAATCATGGAACTCTTCAAGGATACTAGGGCTCCCCTCACAAATTTATTTCTGAAAGTATTGGTAAATGGTATGCCTTCTAGACCCTGCCCATGTGGGTGGTAAGTAGGTCTTCAATGATAAATCCAATTTAACATTCCGGTGTCTCTAAGCCTTTGAATCTCTTCCTCCATATTAAATCAAGGGAGATCCAACGTTTTTAATTCGCTCATACTGGGCCATCTTTTGATCCATGTTTCAGCAATAAACCAAACAAACTGAAAGAGCCCTTTCTAACTCCCTGAACTGGAACATTAAATGCAGAATCTCTTCTTAGTGAGTCCATATCAATAAATTCAGCCCAATTCAACTTTATGTTCCTTCCACCATTACCCTATACCCTTAATATCTATTCTATGTATGTCCCCCAGATTTTTGCTTGTGTGAATTAGAAAATTCAAGTAGTTAAGCTGAGCGCGGTGGCTCACGCCTGTAATCCCAACACTGTGGGAGGCTGAGAAGGGTGGATCACGAGGTTCAGGAGTTCAAAACCAGCCTGGCTGACATGGAGAAACCCCATCTGTACTCAAAATACAAAAATTAGCCAGATGTGGTAGTGTGCACCTGTAAACCCAGTTTCTCAGGAAGCTGAGGCAGGAGAATGGCTTGAACCTGGGAGGTGGAGGTTGGTGAGCTGAGATTGCACCACTGCACCCCAGCCCGCGCAACAAAGCGAGACTCCATCTCAAAAAAAAAAAAAAGATAAAGAAAATTCAAGAATTCAAGTAGTTCTTTTGGCATGTAGTACATCTCCGCATAAGTCATATTTTGTACCTTATCTTTAGGGGTCTGCTGAGACTTGAGTCTTGTTACAAGTCTAGAAGAAAAGAGCGGTAGCAGGGTGGATACTGAGGATAATCAGCATTATCTTACGTGGCAGCTGCCTCAGGGGAGGCCATTACCCTTTTCCTCAGTATTAGTACTCTCAGATGGTGGCGGAAAAGCTGATACCACTGTGGTAGCGGGGACCCAATTCCACCTGGGGTAGGGCAGCCACTTCCATTGGTGTGGGGAGACTGCTTTCAATGTCAAAGAAGATTCATCATAATTCAGGGGCTTAGTGTCCCCAGCTGCGTCAGGGTATTTCCACAGGCCCCCATCCCAACTTACATTTTTTCCCCAATAAGTTGCCCTCACTTTAACAGCAGTCACCCTGTAGAGCTGGGACTTCATCTCGCATTAAAATTCAGCCAATTGCAGGACGAAGTTCTTAATTTTCAGCAATTTCCACCCTGTGGCTACAAGTGATAATGCCCTCCTTCAGAGGACACTTAGAAACTCTTAGGTCATTTATGGGTCTCTTTCTCTCACTCTCTCTTTTTTTTTTTTTTTTTTTTGACACAGACTCTTGCTGTGTCACCTAGGCTGGAGTGCTATGGTGCAATTTCGGCTCACTAAAACCTCCACCTCCCAGGTTCAAGCAATTCTTATGCCTCAGGCTTCCGAGTGACTGGGGCTACAGGCATGTACCATCAAACCCGATTAATTTTTGTATTTTTAGTAGAGACGGGGTTTTGCCACGTTGCCCAGGTTCATTTATGAGTCTCTTGAGCTGGGAATTCAAATCCTTGAGTTCATTCATTTATTTCAACACTTTTTCCAATAACATTAGAAACAACCATCTGACATCATTATGTTCCTTAGTATTCAAAAAATGTCCAAAAGTATCAATCATATACAGAGTCACCAAACTCCTTGCTTCTTGTAAGTAGTTAATTATGAGTATCCAGTGCAGATAATATGCATGTCTCTATAAACAGATGATGGCTTAGACGATCAGTGCTCTCTTTACCACTGGAAATAGCATCACTATTGCCTTTAAATCTAATCAGATGTGAAAGCCAATTCCAGAAACCCTAGATCTAATTAAGAAAGTCATTATTAAAATTTGATTGCTCTATAAACACTCTCAGTACCAAAATCTGTATTAGTTAGGTTTCTCCAAAGAAACAGAACCTATGTAGAGATCTATAGATAGGTATCTATGTGCACACACACACACACACACATATATATATATACACAGACATACAGTCACCAACTTATGATGGTTTCACTTACGATTTTTCAACTTACTGATGGTATAAAAGTGGTATATTTTAATAAAATATTCAATATATTACATGAGATATTTAACAGATTGTTATAAAATAGGCTTTGTGTTAGATGCTTTGCCCAACTATAGGCTAATATAAATGTTCTGAGAATGTTTAAGGTAGGCTATGATGGTAGGTAGGTTAGGTGTATTAAATGCATTTTCACATTTCCACAATAAACATGACTTACGGGGCTATAACCCTTAAGTAGAGGAGAATCCAGGGGTATGGGTTTATTATGGTAATTGGCTCAGATGATTATGGAAGCCAACAGGTCCCACACTCTGCAATCTGCAACCTTGGAGAACCAGGAAGGCTGGTAGTGTTACTCAGTTTGAGTCTGAAGGCCTTAAACTGGGGCAGGGCTGATAGTGTTAAGTCCATGTCTGAGTCAGAAGGCCTGAGAACGAGGTGCTCCAATCTCCCAGGGCAGGAGAAGACGAATGACCCAATTTAAACAGAATGATTCACCCTTCCTCCACCGTTTGTTCTATTTGGGCTCTCAATGGACTGGACGATGTCCACACATATTGGTGAAGTTGTTCTTCTTTACTCAGTCTACTGATTCTAATGCTAATCTCTTCCAGAAAAGCTCTCACAAACATACCCATACATAATGTTTTACCAGCTATCTGGGCATCTTTTAGCCCAGTCAAGCTGACAAATAGAATTAGCCATTCCTTAGGTAGATGTAGATGTAGGTGTTTGTGTATTCTCATAATTTGCATATAGCATTTTTCACTTGCTTCAAGTAATAGCCTTTCTTCAGTAAAGCAAAAATAAAATTCTAATCCCCAAAACAGACTGAATGGATCCCACTCTCAGCCAAGGGAATTCCACAATAAACATGAAAAACTAGTTTAGGCTATGATGGGAAGGGGGCTGGGTATTGGACATGCCTCATTATACTCTCCTCTCTTTGGAATTCCATCACAGCTACCCAGCATTAACACTGAAACAGAGATCTTATGAGTGACAAAACAAGCTCTTTGTAGTAATAAGATACCAAATTCTAATCTGACTCCAGTATAGTATCACATCAAAGATAGCAGATACTGAAAAAAAATCAAAGTATTTTACCCCAAAATATATGTCTCTGACATATTTTGAAGTGGTCCTGCAAAGCTGTCTCTTGTGGGGAAAATCTACTTTCTGTAGAGAACACCCTTCCCTTTCCAGGTCTTTTCCGGATCCAAGAGAGATTTAACTAAGAGTCTGGCACCTTTACCATGTAATCTCTCTAAAGCCTGCTACTTAGGGTTTCATCTGCATAACAACCATGGTTTCCACAACCCCTTATCTTAACTTAGACATTCCTTTCTGTTGATTCCAGGTCTTTAGATAATAACCTAATCCTTTCAACCACATCAGAAAATCTTGGTAACTACCTATGACCTGGAACCCTCCGCTTCGAGTTGCCCTGCCTTTCCATACTGAACAAATGTGTACCTTACAAGTAGTGATTGATGCTGGCCTGTAACTTCTGTTTCCCAAAAATGTATAAAATCAAGCTGTAGGCAGGGCACAGTGGCTCAGGCCTGTAATCCCAGCACTTTGGGAAGCCAGGGTGGCCAGATTACTTAAGGTCAAGAGTTCGAGACAAGACTGGCCAACATGGTGAAATCCTGTCTCTACTAAAAATACAAAAATAGCCAGGTGTGGTGGTGCATGCCTGTAATCCCATTTACTTGGGAGGCTGAGGCAGGAGAACCACTTGAACCTGGGAGGCAGAGGTTGCAGTGAGCCAAGATTGCACCACTGCACTCCAGCCTGGGCAACAAGAGTAAAACTCCATCTCAAAAAAAAAAATAAAAATTAATCTGTAAACCAACCACTTTGGGGACATGTTCTCAAGACCTCCTGGGGCTGCGTCACTGGCTACCCATATTTGCCTCAGAATAAACCTCTCTAAATATTTTACAGGTTTTGACTCTTTTCATCAACATTTCTCTATCGTATCATAGTCTGTTTTCTTCTTAGAGGGAGCTAGTCTTCTTTGTTTCTTATTGTACATTTTAAGGAAAAAGATAGGAGAATTAATACGGCTCAACAGAAGTCACATTTAAATCTACACATATGTTCCAAGAGGAAAAAACATTCTGGAAATAAAACTGGAATCATCTTTCAGCATAAGGCACAATTCTTTCTATTGCTTTGGTTTCTTCTTCAGCAAGATGGAACGTTAGGTATCCTCTTATCTTCTGAACCTCCCAAACCCTGTCCCTCATCAAAACTTACCCGTCCTTTGACCCATCTCTAAGACTCCAACCGACCTAGTAATATAATAACCATAAGATATTAATAGCTGGTGATGATTTCATATTTTATTCTATTCAAACTTTATTTTCCATCTGAATAAGACATATCAATGTCTTAACTAGTGAATTGAGTAATATCACTGTTTGGGTAACTGGGAAAGATATTTGGGCACAAAGGCCAATAATTCCCTTTCAGTCACTCCCACATACTCTTAATATCTATTTTATCAATGTCAGTGACCTTCTCAAATAACCATCTTTTGGTCTCCTTGATTTTTCTGTGTCATCTTTCTCTTTTATATTAATACTTACATTGTTCTTTAAATACAGGTGGACTCTTCTACCTACATTTAAGTGAGACCTTGCATTTGAAATTCAATATTTGCTTAAATTACTCTGTTCTTCAATCCTGTTTCAGTCTAGAGTTCATACTCGCACCAAGAAATACCTACCAGGCCACCATCTGATATGAAACACAAATAGAAATATGACTGTGATTGTATGGATAAAACTGCATCTAAGCAAACAAGTTTTCCAGGCTTGAAGTGCCTTTTAGTCTACTTTACTCACCTTTAGCTCTAACCTTATCTCACCTTTCAGACAGCCAACAGGAATTCAAATTACAGCAAGGTCTTTTTGGGGTCAAGTTGTCCATCATTTCAAATTTAACTGCAGGTCTCTTTCCCTTAAAGGTGAAGGAACAAAAAACGTCAATTTCAGGCTGTTGCTCACCAGCTTTTTGAAAACAAACATTAATTACATAACTATTATGTGTCAAGCACTATCTAATAATATCCATTATTTCCTCCAGTGTTCACAACTTTGGTGGGGAAAGATTGAGTCATCAGGACCAACTTTCAATTGTCTAGGCACTTTGTGATGTCTGAGTAAGTTAAAAGAAAAAGACCAGTGTGCCTGGAAATAACTTAGGAGGTTTTATTTTCTTTGAATAGCTGAAGAACCACATAGGAAGTTGTCAATGCAGATTTTAATAACTTACATAGACCACAAAAACCCCTTCCTGTAGCACAGCATTACTCAGACCTTTTTTCCACTTTTAGTCCCTTGTGTAGACAACATCATAACCACCCATAGCATTTGACAGGAGCTGGAGGGATTACCCTGGAAGAGACAGGCCAAATCACCTGTCACTGCTCTATTTGTCTGCTACTGAAAAGCTGCTGAGTCCTCTCCTTGTGATGTCTTAACATCTTGTGACACTCGGCTTTACAAGACATTTTGCATTTGTCTTGTTTCCCAAAGCCATCCTCACTTGGGACAAATATCCAGAAACACAAGGTCCTACTTATCAAATACATGAAAGGTGAAGAGTATTTTAAGACTGGGGGCCAAAGGCCCTTGGCCGCCTAAAGGTTTGCTAAAAATCAGTGGCATAGGCAGATTGATTAACAGGAGAAAAGGCATACAAATGTTCTCAACATGTATACATGGGAGCCTTCATAATGAAGAACCAATTTCCCAATGAGTTCCAGAAATTTATATACCATTTAGAGGTTACAGAAAGAATGAGGACTTAGATTCTGGTAAAATAGGTTATGGGAAGGGGAGAAGAGGCTTGATTAGCAAAGGTGGCATTGTTACGTAGATGAAACCTCCAACAGAGACAATGGATGGTAAACGTTTCTTTTTAAACTTTTAAAGGCATCAGACTCTCAATCTCTCCTGGATATGGAGAAAGGCTCAGAAAGGTGAGGGGGCATGGCTGCATTAATGGAGACTCTCTACAGATGCAAATTTTCTCCACTTAAGAGTGCTTTGTAAGGCCAGTTCTGTCAGGTGGCTAAGAGAAAGCCATTTCAAAGTATATCAAAGAAATATATTTTGGGGTAAAATATTTTAATTTCCTCCAAGACTATATAAAAGTAGAAGTTACTAAAAGGTTTTTATTGAATGGATAAAGAAACACAGTGGAATATATCATCATTCAAACTGGAAAGGAAGAAATATGAAATGTGCCTAAACCTGGAAAAGCAAAGATTCTAAACCTCCCTTGGTTAAATAAGGAGCATAGAAAACACCCTCAGTTCTGATGCAGGTCTTTAACATCTACCTCAACTGCTTACACTATGACTATAAATGCTTATTATAATGATAAAAGTCCACACAACTTACTTCTAAATAGCAAGTGGAATTTTGACCTAAAGATTGAATGCTCCATTTCTAGATAAGGGCTCTCACTCAGGGGTCACTTCCTTTCAGACTGAGTTTCTTTCTAGGAACAGAGTCAGACCATAAAATATTTAAAGAGGTTTATTCCAAGTTAAATATGACAGACCAAGGCCCGAGACACAGGCTCAAGAGGTAGATCCTGAGAACATGCACCCAAGGTGGTTGGGTTACAACTTGGTTTTGTCAGATACACTAAGTTCCTCTTCAAAGGTTTAATTTTTGACCTCTTTGTTCTTTGTTCTTGAGATCAACTTCCTAGTCCCTTCTCCTAAGCTACCTGCTCCATAAACAACTTCTCCCGACAGTCCCAATCTGTAACTCATATCTCTTCCTTATTTGGAAGAAGTCCTCTTTGCTCCTGGCTACCCATTCTGTAAACTGCCTCTCCTGCCGAAACAGCTCTTCCTGCCAAAACTACCCTTCTGGCTTTGCTGTGCCCTGACATGCCCAAACATGCCTTGTACCATAACGGACAGCCTCTCCCTTCCCGCCTAATTAGCCATATTCAATTTTAATGGTAGCCAATTGTGTCACTTTGGATTGTGCAGTACAGCTCCAGCCAATGGGGACACAGAAGCAGGGAATAACTGCACTGGGGATAAAAACCCCTTCCCTCCTTTGTTCAGTGTCATCTCGCAGTGGCCAGAAGTGCAAGCAGCAGCCTTCCGAAGAAGTAAATTTGCCTTGTTGAGAAATCCTTTGAGTGCTTGTTTCCCGTGTGACTCCAAGCTCTTGTTTCTAACAGTTTCTTTATGTTTTGGGGAGACATAAGACATCAATCATGTTGGCCAGGCTGGTCTTGAACTCCTGGTCTCAAACAATCTGCCCGCCTGGGCCTCCCAAAATGCTGGGATTATTGGCGTGAGCCACCAAGTCCAGCCATGCATACTTTTTTTAATAAATGAACACTTTTCCTCTATTCTAAGTGCAAACATTAGAATTGTTGCCTGAAATTTTGTTGCCTTCTCTAGTAAGCACCACTGTATTCTTGACATGGTTTCATTTAAAATTCTCATTTGGCGTAATAAAAAAGAAATTTGACCAGAGGATTTTGAGCTTTTCTTGTACTTCTGTAACATTTTTGAAAAATGATTTGTTCTTCAGCTTAAGCCATAAGTTTTAAATGGGTGAGAGCATTTCCATCCATTTTTATTTATATTGCACTCTTTTACTGGACAGGATTAAAATGACAACCTCTGGCTCTTTTTTCTCTTTTGGAGATTTTTGAACTGTTCTGTTTGAATGAAACAGTTAAAGTCTAGTGGCCTTTCTATTTTGTCTAGGGCCTGCTCAGAGTTGATAAACATTTCCAGATCTGAGCAGGAGAGGTAAGTTTTATCTATTCAGTGTTGCAGTCAAAAAAGTTTATAAATAGCAGGTTCTTTATTGTTGGAATTCATGAAAATGCCACAGAGTGAACCCCAAAATTGGGGCTCAGCCTGGGAGACCATAGGGGTTCTTGGGTTCCAGTAGGAAAGAACTCAAGAACGAGCTGACAGAGTAAAGTGAAAGCAAGCTTATTAAAAAGGAAAGGAAAGGCTGGGCACAGTGGCTCATGCCTGTAATCCCAGCACTTTGAGAGGCTGAGGCAGGTGGGTCACCTGAGGTCAGGAGTTCGAGACCAGCCTGGCCAACATGATGAGACCCCATCTCTACTAAAAAAAAAAATATATATATATATATATATTATATGTATATAAAAATTAGCTGGGCATGGTTGTGGGCACCTGTAGTCCCAGCTACTCAGGAGGCTGAGGGAGGAGAATCACTTGAACCCAGGAGGCAGAGGTTGTGAGGGAAGAGAGAGACCCTCTCATTTTGTTTTATATTGTTTTATACTCAGTACCTGTTTTAAGAAAAAAGAAATAACAAGGAAGTGAAATCAAAGACAGGCAGCCCGGCAGCAGGCCCAAAACCGGACCTGGGCCTGCCTGGCCTAAACCTAGTAGTTAAAAATCAACTCATGACTTAGAAACCAATGTTATTCATAGATTCCAGACATTGTATAGAAGAACATCGTGAAACTCCCTGCCCTGTTCTCTTTCTCTCTGACCACTGGGCATGCAGCCCCTGTCACGTACCCCTTGCTTGCTCAAATTAATCACGACCCTTTCATGTGAAATCTTCAGTGTTGTGAGCCCTTAAAAGGACAGAAGTTGTGCATTCGGGGAGCTCGGATTTTAAGGCAGTAGCTTGTGGATGCTCCCAGCGGAATAAAGCCCTTCCTTCTACAACTTGGTGTCTGAGAGGTTTTGTCTGTGGCTCGTCCTGCTACAGTTGCAGTGAGCCAAGATCATGCCATTGCACTCCAGCCTGGGCGACAAGAGTGAAACTTCATCTTAAAGAAATATATATATATATATAAAATTAGCCAGGCATGGTGCTGGGCACCTGCAATCCCAGCTACTCAGGAGGCTGAGGTGGGCAGGAGAATTCCTTGAACCTGGGAGGCAGAGGTTGTAGTGAGCTGTGATCATGCCATTGCACTCCATCCTGGGCAACAAGAGCGAAACTCCATCTTAAAACAAACAAACAAACAAACAAAACAGAACAAAAAGTAAAGGAATAAAAGGGTGGCTACCCCACAGGCAAAGTAGCAGTGTGGCTGCTTGGCTGACCATACTTATGGTTATTTCTTGATTATGTGCTAAGCAAGGGATGGATCATTCAGGAGTTTTCTGGGAAAGGGGCAGGGAATTCCGGGAACTGAGGGTCCCTTTCTCTTTCAGACCATATAGGGTAACTTATGAATGTTGCCATGGCATTTGTAAACTGTCATGGCACTGGTATGAGTTTCCTTTAGTATACTAATGTATTATAATTAGCGTATAATGAAGAGCGAGGGTAACCAGATGGTACTTTTGTCACCATCTTGGTTTTGGCAGGTTTTGGCTGGCTTTTTTTTTTTTTTTTCTATTTAATCAGCGGGGTCTTTGTGACCTGTGTCCTGAGAAACAACTCCTGCTGAATTCCTATTTCAAACATATTATTTCTGTTCAATTATAAAAAAATAATTTTTCAACTGGAGAATGCTGTTTATAGTTTGTATTGTTAAAACAATATATAAGCACAATGTTGGGAATTGACATTTCCAACATTGTGTTATATATTTGATGATATCATCAAAGATCCACATGCAACTGACTGTTTTCTTAGGCTCTAGAAGACAGAAATCTGGGATATTTCATTGAACTATATTGTTTTATCAAATTTTGATACACTTGATTAAAACAATGTATGTTTACACATTATTGAGGGGTTAATAGGATTATAGTTCTTGCCAGGCTTCTGTCTTGACTGGGTAGGTAAACAAGACTGTGGTTTTTCTATGTCTCCAATAACAAGAGTTTATTGAATATTTACTAAAAGATATTACAGGAGAATATTATGAATCTCCCAGGGTCCCAGAGTGTCATATGCACTTTTACATCCCCAGCTCCTGGCACAGGGCCTGACACAAAGTAGTACTTAGTGCTTTTCTTTTAAATTGCTTTGGACTAATTGAAGAAACAAAGAAGGCTTCTTCTCTCACAGTGTTTACAATCTTACTGTATGTAAATATGTACAAAACAAAGAGCTTGAGAACAATTAAAAGAAAAAGGAGGCTGGGCATGGTGGCTCATGCCTGTAGTCCCAGCACTTTGGGAGGCTGAGGTGGGCAGATCATGAGGTCAAGAGATCGAGACCATCCTGGCCAACATGGTTAAACTCCATCTCTAAAAATACAAAAATTAGCTGGGCGTGGTGGCATATGCCTGTAGTCCCAGCTATGCGGGAGGCTGAGGCAGGAGAATCACTTGAACCTGGGAGGCGGAGGTTGCAGTGAGCTGAGATCACACCATTGCACTCCAGACTGGTGACAGAGTGAGACTCCATCTCAAAAAAAAAAAAAAAAAAAAAAAGAAGAAGGAAAAGGATATTATAAGTGAAGGAGATGGAAAATTCAAAGTATGAAAGAAGAGGTTGAGAAAATCTTTTGAGGAAACTACAAATACATTGCATGATTTCCTCACAAGGGTAGGGCCAAGTTGGTGAATGAGAGAATGTTGAGAAGAAAACCAGGATCTGATGGTGGCACCTGACAATGACTAAGAGGCTCAGACTAGTAACACAGAACATAAACCTTCCTTCAGCTTTTTCTTCTATGTAACACAAAGTAGCTGACATCAACTATCCTTCTGTGCATCAAGGTAAGTCTTACTACTAAAACTAAAACTCTAGAAATACATCTCTAAGTGGTGTGTGAACAGAAGTAGACTGGAGGGTCAAGACTATACCAAACATTAAAAAACTTTCAAGAAACCAAATATGTTATTGCTTTTCAGTAAATAAATGTATTTGAATTACCAACAATGAACATAATGAAGGGAGGAGGTAGCATTTACTATTCACCTGTAAAGAAGCCTTTTAAAAACCAAGAGTTTGTAGCTTATTACCTCTTAAAGTGGATGTGTTGTTTTGCTTTTGCAAATAACGGCATAGTAACCAAATATTCGGGTTATCAAATACCAGTGGCATTGAGTATTTCTTAAGAAAGTTGAGTAAATAAAGGGAGACAAGAAGGCTAGACATTAAATACCTTGTTATACTGAGGATTTCCAAAAGAACAGAAATAAAAGTGTTAGCATCATAAACAATATACATAAAGCAATCTATATACCCAGAAAATATGCAAGATAACTCTGTGAGACATCCCTTATAATTACTTGCAATTACTTCACTTGTTAAAAAGAAAGGTATTTATTTAGATAAGGAAATTCATACAAATAGTACAAAATTTTAAAGGTCCTGTCTCCCTAAACTTCCAGTAGACTAGTACCACCATCTCCTTCCCCAGTTCTTGTAAATATTTTCAGAAATACTCTATGCATACTGAAACACATTTATGTGTGTATACATATACATATATATACACACAAATACATATGCATTATACATATGCTTTTAATGTTTTGAGTTTTTTTAAAGTTATGAAATATTATAAATATTCAGAAATTACGTAATATACTAGATAGCCTACGCTGACCCAGATTTTTAAAAGCTTAATATTTTTATATTTATTTCAAATATAAGTTTTTTAAGAAATAAAATGCTGGAGATACAGTTGAGTCCACCAAGAATCCTATTTTCTTTCCCTTCCTTGAGGTTAACATTATCTTGAAATTGATGTATATACATACCATCCAAGTTCTTACATTTTTTGTTTTTAAAATGTTTGTGGGTACATAGTAGGTGTATATATTTATGAGGTGCATGAGATATTTGATACAGGCATGCAGTAAGTAATAATCACATCATGGGAAATGGGGTGTCCAGTCCCTCAAGCATTTATACTTTGTGTTACAAACAATCCAATTATATTCTTTTAGTAATTTTAAAATGTACAATTAAATTATTATTGATGATAGTCACCCCTGTTGTGCTATCAAATACTAGGTCTTATTGATTCTTTCTAACTATATATTTTTTGATACCCAGTACCCATCTCCACCTTCCCTTGACCACCTACTATCCTTCCAAACCTCTGGTAACTATCCTTCTACTCTCTATCTCCATGAGTTCATTTTTTTTTTTTTTTGACACCCACAAGTAAGTGAGAACATGAGAAGTTTGTCTTTCTGTGCCTCGCTTATTTCACTTAACATAATGACCTTCAGTTCCATCCATGTTGTTGCAGATGACAGGATCTCATTCTTTTTTAAGGCTGTGTAGTATCCCATTGTGTATATGTACCATTTTCTTTATGCAATCATCTGTTTGATGGACATTTAGGTTGCTTCCAAATCTTGGTTATTGTGAAGAGTGCTGCAACAAACATGGGAGTGACAATATCTCTTTGATATCCTGATTTCATTTCTTTTGGGTATATACTCAGCAGTGGGATTGCTGGATTGTATGGTAGCTCTCTTTTTAGTCTTTTAAGGAACCTCCAAACTGTCCTCCATAGTGGTTGTACTAATTTACATTCCCACCAACAGTGTACAAGGATTCCCTTCTATCCATATCCTCACCAACCTTTGTTATTGCTTATTTTTGGATATAAGCCATTTGAACTGGGGTGAGATGATACTGTAGTTTTGATTTGCAATCCTCTGATGATCAGTGATGTTGAATACTTTTTCATATGGCTGTTTGCCATTTGTATGTTTTCTTTTGAGAATGCTATTCAATTCTTTTGCCCATTTTTTGATCAGATTATTAGATTTTTTTCTATATAGTCATTTGAGCTCCTTATATATTCTGGTTATTAATCCCCTGTCAGATGGACAGTTTGCAAATATTTTTTCTCATCCTGTGGGTTGTCTCTTCAATTTGTGGTTTCCTTCACTGTGCTGAAGCTTTTTAACTTGCTGTGATCCCATTTGTCCATTTTTGCTTTGGTTTCCTGTGCTTGTGCGCTATTAAGAAATTTTTGTTCAGACCAATATCCTAGAGATTTTCCCCAACCTTTTCTTGTAGTCGTTTCATAGTTTGAGGTCTTAGATTTAAGTCTTTAATCCATTTGATATGATTTTTGTATAATGTGAGAGATAGGGGTCAAGTTTCATAGTTTCATTCTTCTGCATGTGGATATCCAGTTTTCCCAGTATTATTTATTAAAGAAGGTATACTTTCTCCAATGTATGTTCTTGGCACCTTCGTCAAAAATGAGTTCACTGCAGGTGTATGGATTTATTTCTGGGTTCCCTATTCTGTTCCATTTATCTATGTGTCTGTTTGTATGCCAGTACAATGCTGTTTGGATTAGTATACCTCTGTAACATAATTTGAAGTCTGGTAATATGATTCCCCCAGTTTTTTTTCTTTTTTCTCAGGATAGCTTTGGCTACTCTGGGTCTTTTGTGGTTCCGTACACGTTTTAGGATTGTTTTTCTATTTCTGTGAAGAATGTCATTGGTATTTTGATAGGAATCACATTGAATCTGTAGATTGCTTTGGGTACTATGGACATTTTAACAATATTGATTCTTCCAATCCATGAACATGGAATACCTTTCTATTTTGTGTCTTCAATTTCTTTCATCAGTGTTTTTAGTTTTCACTATACAGATCTTACACTTACTTGGTGAATTCTTAGGTATTCAATTTCATTTGTGGTTACTGTAAATTAGATTACATTTTTTATTTCTTTTTCAGGTTGTTCATTGTTGGCATATAGAATTGGTACTGATTTTTATATGTGGATTTTGTATCCTGTAACTTTATCGAATTTATCAGTTCTAATAGTGTTTTGGTGGAGTCTTCAGGTTTTTCCAAATATAAAATCATATTATCTGCAAATAAGGATAATTTGACTTCTTACTTTCCAATTTGGATGCTCTTTATTTCTATTTTCTGGTTGCTTTAGCTAGCACTTTGAGAACTATGTTGAATAACAGTGGTAAAAGTGGACACATCTTTGTTGCATTCCAGATCTTAGAGGAAAGGTTTTCAGCTTTTCCTCATTCAGTATGATACTAACTGTAGGTCTGTCATATATGGTTTTTATTATGTTGATGTGTGTTCCTTCTATACCAACTCTTTTGAGGGTTTTTATCATGAAGAATGTTGAATTTTGTCAAATGCTTTTCAGCATGAATTAAAATGATCATGTGGTTTTTGTGCTTTATTCTGTTGATGTGATGTATCACATTAATTGATTTATGTATTTTGAACCATCTTTGCATCCCTGGGATAAATCCCACTTGGTCATGATGAATGATCTTGTTAATGTTTTATTGAATTTGATTTGCTAGTATTTTGTGAAGGATTTTTTCATCAATATTCATCAGAGTTATAGGCTTGTGGTTTTCTTTTTTGATGTGTCTTTGTCTAGTTGTAGTATGAAGGTAATACTCACCTCAAAGAATGAGTTTTGAAGTGGTCCCTTCTCTTCTATTTTTCAGAATAGTTTCAGTAGGATTGGTATTAGTTCTTTAAATGTTTGGTAGAATTCAGTAGTGAAGCCGTCAGGTCCTGCGCTTTTCTTTACTGGGAGACATTTTATTACAGTTTCAATTTCAGTACTTGTTATTGGTCTGTTCAGGTTTTGGATTTCTTCATGATTCAATCTTGGTAGGTTGCATGTATCTAGGAATTTATCCTTTTCCTCTCGATTTTCCAATTTGTTGGCATACACTTGTTCATAGTAGCCACTAATGATTCTTTCAATTTTTGTGGTACCAGTTGTAATGTCTGCTTTTTCACCTGTGATTTTATTTGGGTCTTTTTTTCTTAGTTTGGGTAATGTTGTCTTCAAAAAACCAACTTCTGTTTTATTGATCTTCTGTATTGCTTTTTTCACTTTAAATTCATTTACTTGTGTTCTGATCTTTATTATTTTGTTTCTTCTAATTTGGGGCTTGGCTTGCTCTTGATTTTCTAGTTCTCTAAAATGCATTATTAAGTTATTTGAAGTTTTTTTTCTATTTTGATGTAAGCACTTATAGCTATAAATTTCCCTCTTAATACTGCTTTCACTGTATTGCATAGGTTTTGGTATATTGTGTTTCCGTTATCACTTGTTTCATGAAAATTTTTAATTTCCTTCTTAATTTCTTCATTGACCCACTGGTCATTCAAGAGCATATTGCTTAATTTCCATGTGTTTGTATAGTTTCCAAAATTTCTCTTGTTATTGATTTCTAGCTTTACTCCATTGTGGGCAGAGAAGATGCTTGATATTATTTCAATTTTTTGAAAATTTTAAGATTTATTTTGGCCAGGTACAGTGGCTCACACCTGTAATCCTAGCTCTTTGGTAGGCAGACACAGGTCAATTGCTTGAGTCCAGGAGTTTGATACTAGTCTGGGTGAAATGGTAAAACCTTATATCTGCAAAAAAGACAAAAACTAGTCAGGTGTCATGGCATGCAACTGTAGTCCCAGATACTTAGGATGCTAATGTGGGAGGATTGCTTAAGCCCAAGAGGTCAAGGCTGCAGTGAGTTGTGATCATGCCACTGCACCCCAGCCTAGGTGACAGAGACTCTGTCTCGAAAAAAAAAAGACTTGCCTTGTGTGTTTTATGACCTGAAATATGTTCACATATGTTCTATCTTTAAGAATAATCTATGTGCTCAGAAGAAGAATGTGGATTCTCCAGCCATTGAATGAAATGTTCTGCAAGTATCTATTAGATCCATTTGTTCTGTAGTACAGAAGTCTAATGTTTCTTTGTTGATTTTTTGTCTGGAAGACCTGTCTGATGCTAAAAGTGGGATGCTGAAGTGGGATGCTATTATTGATGGTATTAAGCTCCATTTCTGTCTTTAGTCTAATAATATTTGCCTTATGTATCTTGGTGCTCCAGTGTTGGCTGCATATATAATTACAGTTCTTGTATCTTGGTAAACTGACCTCTTTCTCTTCTTATAGATTTGTTTTGAAATCTATTTTGTCTGATATATGTATAGCTACTTCTGATTTTCTTTTTTTTTTTCTTTTTGGTTTTCACTGATGTGGAATATCTTTTTCCATCCCTTCCAATCTATGTGTATATTTATAGATCAAGTGGTGTGTTTCTTGTAGGCAACAGATTATTGGGTCTTGCTTTTTCATCCATTCAGCCCTCTGAATCTTTTCATTAGAGGGTTTAGTCCATTTATATTCAATGTTATTATTGATAAGTAAGGACTTACTCATGCAATTTCGTTATTTGTTTTCTGGGTTTTTGTTGGTGGTGGTGGTGTTCTCATCCTTCTCTCCTTCCTTTCTATCTTCTTTTTATCAAAGGTGATTGGTGGTATGACTTAATTTCTTGCTTTTTATTTTTTATGTATCCATTATGTTTTTCAATTTGAAGTTACCATGAGGCTTGCAAATACTATTTTATAACCCATGATTGTAAGCTGATAAAAACTTAACACTGTATACATAAACAAAAAGAAAACTAATAAGAACTCTAAATTTTACTTTGTTCCCTGCTTTTTAGCTTTTTGTTGTTTTTGTTTATATCTTCTTGTACTATGTCTTAAAAAGTTGTAGTTATTACCTTTGAGTGGTTCATCTTTTAGTCTTTCTATTTAGGATAAGAGTAGTTTAAACAACATAGTTACAGTGTTATAATATTCTCTATTTTTCTGTGTATCATTATTACCAGTGTGTTTTGTGCCTTTAGGTTTGCTCACTAACGTTCCTTTTTTTAAATTTGTGCTAAAGTACTACTCTTTATTTTTTTTTCCATAAGTTATTGGGGTACAGGTGGTATTTGGTTTCACGAGTAAGATCTTTAGTGGCAATTTGTCAGATTTTGGTGCACCCATCACCCAAGCAGTATACGCTGTACCCCATTGTAGTCTTTTATTCCTCACCTGAGCAGTATACACTGCAGCTTATTTGTAGTCTTTTATCCCTTGCCCCCCTCCCACTCTTCCCCCTAAGTCCCCAAAGTCCATTGTATCATAGCTTAGTTCCCACATATCAGTGAGAACATATGATGTTTGGTTTTCCATTCCTGAGTTACTTCACTTAGAATAACAGTCTCCAATCTCATCCAGGTCACTGCAAATGCCATTAATTCATCCCTTTTTATGGCTTAGTAGTATTCCATCATATAAATATACCAGTTTCGTTATCCACTTGTTGATTGATGGCCATTTTGGTTGGTTCCACCATTTTGCAATTGCGAACTGTGCTGCTATAAGCATGCATGTGCAAGTATCTTTTTCATATGTTTTCTTTCCCTCTGGGTAGATACCCAGTATTGGGATTGCTGAATTAAATGTTAGTTTTACTTTTAGTTCTTTAAGGAATCTCCACACTGTTTTCTATAGTGGGTTTACTAGTTTACATTCCCACCAGCAATGTAGAAGTGTTCCCTGTCCACTGCATCCATGCCAACATCTGTTTTTTGATTTTTTTATTGTGGCCATTCTTGCAGGAGTAAGGTGGCATTGCACTGTGGTTTTGATTTGCATTTCCAAGATTATTAGTGATGTTGGGAATTTTTTCATATGTTTCTTGGCCTTTTGTGTATCTTCTTTTGAGAATTGTCTATTCCTGTTCTTAGCCCACTTTTTGATGGGATTGTTTTTTCCTTACTGATTTGTTTGAGTTCCTTGTAGATTCCAGATATTAGCCCTTTGTCAGATATATAGAGTGTGAAGATTTTCTCTCACTCTGTGGGTTGTCTGTTTACTCCGCTGACTGTTCCTTTTGCCATGCAAAAGCTCTTTAATTTAATTAAGTCCCAACTATTTATCTTTGTTTTTAATACATTTGTTTTTGGGTTCTTGGTCATGAAAAAATACGGAATGCTTCACGAATTTGCATGTCATCCTTGCACAGGGGCCATGCTAATCTTCTCTGTATCATTCCAATTTTAGTATATGTGCTACAGAAACAAGCATGTTCTTTTCTAATTGAATTAATCCCTGTAGCCCTTCTTGTAGAACAGGCCTGGTGTTGATGAAATCTTTCAGCTTTTCTTTGTCTGGGAAAGTCTTTATTTCTCCTTCATGCTTAAAGGATATTTTCACCAGACATACTATTCTAGTGTAAAAAATTTTTCCTTCCACACTTTAGATATATCATGTCACTCTCTCTGGCCTGTAAAGATTTCCACTCTAAAGTCTGCTTCCAGATGTATTGGAGCTCCATTGTATCTTATTTCTTTTCTGTTGCTGCTATTAGGATCCCTTCATTATTTTTGACCTTTGAGAGTTTATTAAATGCTTGTAGTAGTCTTCTTTGGGTTAAATCTGCTTGGTGTTCTATAATCTTCTGGTACTGGTATCTTTCTCTGGGTTTGGGACATTCTCCGATATTATCTCTTTGAATAAAGTTTCTACCCCCTTCTCTTTCTCTGCCTCCTCTTGAAGGCCAATAACTCTTAGATTTGCACTGTTGAGGCTATTTTCTAGATCCTGTAGCTATGCTTTACTTTTTTTTGTCTCCTCTGTGTATTTTCAAATAGCTTGCCTTCAAGCTCACTAATTCTTTCTTCTCCTTCATCAATTCTGATATTAAGAGATTCTGATGCATTCTTCGGTATGTCAGCTTCATTTTTCAACTCTATAATTTCTACTTGATTCTTTTTAATAATTTCAACCTCTTTGTTAAATTTATCTGATTGAATCCTGAATTCTTTCTTTGTGTTATCTTAAATTTCTTTGTGCTTTCTCAGCATAGCTATTTTGAATTCTCTGTCTGAAAGGTCATACCTATCTGTTTCTCCAGGATTGGTCCCTAGTACCTTATTCAATTCATTTGGTGAGGTCATATTTTCTTGGATGATCTTGATGCTTGTAGATGATCACCATTGTCTCGGCATTGAGTAATTAGGCAGTTATTGCAGATGTCACAGTCTGAGCTTATTTGTACCCAACCTTCTTGAGAAGGCATTCCAGTTATTCAAAGGGACTTGGGCCCCAAAACCAACAATGCTGTGGTTCTTGCAGACTCATAGAGTTACTGCCTTGGTAGTCTTGGATAAGATTTGGAAGAATTCTCTGGGTTACCAGGCACAGACATTTTTATTTTCCCTTACTTTTTCCCAAACAAAGTCTCTCTTTCTTTGTGCTGGGCCTCCTGGAACTCGGGGTGGGGAAACACAAGCACCTTTGTGGCCACCACCACTGAGACCGTTTTAGTTCAGACCTGAAGCCAGCACAGCACTAGTCTCACACAAGGCCCACTGTAACAACTACCTGCCTAAGTTTGCTCAAGGCCCTACGGCTCTACAATCAGCAGGTGGCAAAGCCAGCCAGGTTTGTGTCCTTCCCTTCAGTGCAATGAGTTCCCCCAGGCCCCAGGTGGGTTCAGAGATGCTGTCTGGAGCCAGGGATTGAAGTCAAAACCTTTAGAAATTTACCTGGTGTCCTAGTCTACTGTAGCTAAGCTGGCACTCACATCACAAGACAAAGCCCTTCTCACTCTTCCCTCTCAAAGCCCAAGTGCTCTTCAGTCAGCTTGTGATGCGTGCTGCCAGACCTGAGACTCACCCTTCAGGGCAGTGGGCTCTCCTCTGGCCCAGGCAGGTCCAGAAAAGCTGACCAAGAGCCTAGACCTGGATTCGAAGACCCCAAGAGCCTGCTTGGTGCTCATCCCCACTGTGGTTGAGCTGGCATCTAATGTGCAAGACAGAGTGCCCTTTACTTTCCTCTCTCCTTTTCTTTAACAGAAAGAGTCTTTCGCCATAGCCACCACAGCTGGGAATGCGCTGGGTCATATGTGAAGCCAACAGGCCTGAGAATCCAGTGCTTACAGTGTATTACCTGGGTATTACTGTTGGTTATTCAAGGTGCAGGGGCTCTGTAGTCAGCAGATGATGAATCCTGCCAGGTGACACGGCAGCACTGAGTTCAACGTAAAGTCCCCAGTCACTGTGCTCTTCCTCTCCCAAGTGTGCAATTTCTCTGTGCCATGTGGCTGCTGCCAGAGGGTGGCAGAGGATTGGCACAAGCACTCCCTTAGCTCCCCTGGCTGGTGTCTCAATAGGTCTCATGCTTCCCCAGTCCACTGGGTTCAGCACTATATCTTCCCTAGAAATTGCAGTCCATGTGGCCTAGACTATACCTCAAGTTCACTTAGGGCCCCCTGAACACTAAAACCTGCGGTGGCAAGGCTTGCCAGAACTCAAGCCCTAACCTCTGGGATGAGTGATTCCTCTCTGGCTAGGGCCAGTCCAAATTCTTCCTCCATAGGTGGACATCAGCTGAGCACAGCTTGGTTCTGCTCTTCATTGTGACAGGGCAACACCAAGATCAATGCAAAGCCTCACAATCGCTGCGCTCTCCCTCTCCCAAGAGCACAGATTCTCCATCACCACTGCAAGGGGATAGGGGAGGGGTGGTGTAGGCAATGCAAGACTGTCTTTCCTGCCCTTTTCAATGACTCTTTCAGCGATATAAAGTTAAAACCAGGTATTGTGATTGCTCACCTTTTTTGGCTCTTATAATGGTGCTTTTCATGTGTAGTTAGTTGTTAAAATTTGGTGTTCCTGTAGGGTGGGGGATGAATAGTGTAGACTTCTACTCAGCTGTATTGCTCTATACTCCTTGTTCAATTGTTCTTATATTTTCAGCATTTTAAAATATTGGTATGACAAGTGAAATACCACCATCATAAAAATCAAAAGTAGGTTGCAGTTATCATTTGGCCAGGTGCCTGACAGCAAGAAAACAACATTGTAGACTAAGAAACAAGTGGCTTTTGGTGTGCTATAGTTAAGACATTTGGGGCTGGGCACAGGGGCTCATGCCTGTAATCCCAGCACTTTGGGATCCCAAGGTGGAAGGATTGCTTGAGGCCAGGAGTTAGAGACCACCCTGGCCAACACGGTGAAAACCATCTCTTCTAAAAATACAAAAATTAGCTAGGCGTGGTGGCACATGCCTGTAATCCCAGCTACTGGGGAGGCTGAGGCAGGACAATTGCTTGAATCTGGGAGGTGGAGTTTGCAGTGAGGTGAGATCATGCCACTGCACTCCAACTTGGGTGAGAGAGTAAGACTCTGCCTCAAAAAAAAAAAAAAAAAAGAAAGAAAGAAAAGAAAAAAAAGACATTTGGTGCAACTACTGTCTTTGATAACTTGGAATCCAGGTCAAATGCTTTCCAAGTCCATCACAGGCACTGTACAGGCACAGATTATTACAATTCAGTGACTAAGAATTTTCAGTCAAACACAGAAAAGCCTGGGGCAAACATAAAATTAAGGCTGTTACCTTCCCATAAAAGCTTATCATTTTCAATGATCTTAGGGGAACAAGCATCATATTGAGGGAGAGAAGAATAGGTAAGTCATGTGTCCCTCAGAAATTGGGAGATGTAGAAGTTTTCTGCCCTGGCTAGGGGTATATTTTATCACAGAAATTGTTTAGAATTTCCAGAGTATGGAGAAAATAAATAGCAGCCCATCTTTTGATCTGTTTTCCTTTTAAATTCTCTATGGCCTTCACCTTGGGCCGCCTCCAATGCCTCCTCTTCTTTAGTGTGTCACTGGAACACAGAAGTCAGAAAATAAAGGAGGTACAGTTTAAGAAAACTGTCGATAAGGAATTTTCAGTGTGATCATTGGAGCAACCAACAGGAAGTAAATGGATTAGAAGCCTACAACATTTTTGAGAAGATTATACTATCAAAAAAAAAAAAAAAAACCCAAAAGTTTGACTAGCAAAATTCCATGATTGTTTCACCCTTGAAGTACCAAAGAATGGTTTACTCTCCAATGTCCACTTCATATGTGACCCAAGATGATAACGGATAGAGAAACTGTCAGAGGGCAAGACAAGGACCCGGGGGAAAAATAGTAAAAGGAATTACTCTACAAGACAGTAGAACCAGGGCCCGGTATGGTGGCTCATGCTTGTAATCCCAGCACTTTGGGAGGTTGAGACAGGAGGATCACTGGAGGCCAGGAGTTCAAGACCAAGCTGAGCAGCATCATGAGATCCCATTTCTACAAAAATTCAAAAAATTAGGCAGGTGTGGTAATGCATGCCTGTGGTCACAGCTACTAAGGAGGCTAAGGCGGGAAGTTCACTTGAGCTGGGAAGGTTGAGAGGCTGCAGTGATCTATGATGGTGCCACTGCCTTCCAGCCTGGGTGACAGAGCAAGGTCCTGTCTCTATTTAAAAAACGGAGAGAAAATAAAGAGAGAGTAGATCGAGGTACAGGCAGATGGGCGAAGCAAGCAACTTACCTCTCTACCAGGCAAGGAGTCTGCAGTGACCGGCTGCCAGTATTTGATAACTTCTATGGGTCACTGAAGGGAGAGCCATTGCAGTTCTTCCCCACTATCACATTCTAGGTGTGTCTATGTTATACTCTAGGAGGATAGTCTGACAACAATTTGCCTTCACAGGTTGCCAGGCCATGAGGAGACACGCTCAGGCCCAATGGAGACAACCACATCTCATCCAGAAATTGTGGATTTGAACTGTTTGCCATAACTGGCTGAGACTTTGAATTGCCTATCTTGTGAAATGAATGTTCTAAGGCTGGGAAGAAATATGTGCACAGATATTTGGATGGCCAGTAAAGGAGACCAAAGCATACAGCTGCTGTCTCTCCAAATACGCTTTTTCTTTCAGAAGTCATAGCTTTCTTGTGACTACATTTTGCAGCTCGCATGTGACTAGGGTTTTATAGAATGCTAGCAGAAATAACACGTGCAACTCCTTGCTCACTTTCTTAAAAGGAAATAGATATCTGATTCCTCCTGTCTTTTCTTTTCCTGCCATCTTGCATGTGATCTCGCTCATCATCTAGCTTTGATCATGGAGATGAGGACTATGCCCCTAGGTTATGGCAGAACAAAAGATAGAAGAGACTGAGTTCTCAAATGACAGATCTATCCCACCAAACTGGACCGTTACACAGACTTAGTTATGTGAGAAAGGTATGTGAACTTAAATTATTTCTGCCAGAGAATTTTAGGTTCTCATTGTTACAGCAGCTTGGTGTTCACCCCAATCAGTGTAGTAAGTATAGTTCTAGTTCATTCAACTTAACTGCCCATGAGTACCCAGATTTACTTGTTTCCTTATTTACAATGTTTCCCATTTATAGCTCTTATGGAAAATGCAGCATTGTCCATTTTTCCAGACATGTCTTTATACACCTATGAGAGTTTTTCTAAAGCTGTGATGAACAATACAGTATCCTTTAGCCACAGGTATGATTTAAATTTTAATTATTGAAAATATAAAAAAGCATTCATTTGTTACACTAACCACACTTCAGGTACTCATAAGCTCTATTAGTCACCTTCTGAACTGTGACTACCCTATTGGACAGTACTAATAGAAAACATTTCCATCATCACAAAGAATTCTTTTGAACAGCACTGCTCAAAGAGGTTTACATCGACTAGGATATAAACCTAGTCGTAAAATTTCTAAGTCATAGAATATGCACATCTTCAGTGTTACTACGTAATGACAAATAACTTACCAACATGATTACAGCAATTTATAGCAACTTATACAAGTTTTCACTTGCTAACAGCTTCACCTATACGATACTATGAAACTTTTCGTTTTGCCATAGAAATGGATGTGAATTATGACTGAGCAACTTGTTGTTTATTTACTCTCTTTTTTACGTTAAGGTGTAAGATTTCATTTCTTAATTAAACAATCCTATCTTGCTTCAAGTTAATAAAGATATTTTCATCTAAAAGACTGAAGTTTTACTAGTAACACTGAGATCTTTAATCCATATGGAAGGTATTGTATGTCACATTGGGTAGAAATTTAATTTTACTTTCTACCATCTGGAGAGCTAATTGACCAAATATCATGTATTGAATAATCCATCTTTTGCACTTTGATGTGTACTGCCAACTCTGTCATCACCAAATTCCCTTATCTTCATAGGTCACTCTCTGAAATATCTATTTCAATCCACTAGTCTATTTGTTTAATCTTCCCATCATAACATGATGTCTCATTTCTTAAATGTATAAGTTTTAATATCTCAAAAGATGAGTCACTACATTCTTATTCTCTTTCTTCAAAATTATTTTGTCTGGTCTTGATACTTTTGTTTTTCCATATGAATTTTAGGATCTATTTGTCAATCTCAAAGACATACTGTTAGGATATTATGGTAGGCTAGAACATATCCTCTCCTGCCTCAAGACATTCCTGTCATAATCTTTGGAACCTGTGAATTTTTCCTTATTTGGAAAAAGGGTATTTGCAGAAATGATGAGGTTAAGGATCTAAAGATGGGAACATTATCCTGGATTATCTAGATGGATTACAAATGTAATTGCAAGCATCCTTGTAGCGAGGAGGCAGAAACAAATTTAGGCGCACACACATGAGAATATGACATGAAGACAGAGGCAGATTGGAGTGATGCAGCTACAACCCAAGGGATGACAGTCTGCAAGGAACAGATTCTCTCCTAGAGCCTCCAGAGGGAACACGGCCCTCCCAACATCTTGATTTCAGCCCAGTGATACCGACTTTGGACTTCTGAATTTCAGAAATGTGAAAGAATAAATTTCTGTTTAAGCCACCAAGACTATGGTGATTTGTTACAGCTGCCATAGGAAACTAATGCAAATTTTGGTACCTGGAAGTAGAGTGCTGCTGAAACAAATACCTAAAAATGTGGAAGTGGATTTGGAATCTGACACTGAATAGAGTTGTGAAGAATTTTGTGGTGCATGATAGAAAAAGCATTGACTGCCTTACACATACTTCTGGTAGAAATATGGATGTTAAAGGGGCCATTGTAAGGCCCCAGAAGAAACTGGTAACACAGTAGAAAATGTCTATATCATCTTAAAGATATATTACCATAAACAGAATGTTTGTAGACATGTGAATGTTGAAGACACTGTTGTTAAGTTTCCAAAGAAAATACGGAGCATGTTATTGGAAAAGGGAAGAAAGATGCTAACTGTTATCAAGTGGCAGATAACAGCCAAATTGTGTTCCACCATCAGGTAGAAAGTAGAACTTGTACCTTCTACATGGATGAACCTGGACATTTATCTGAGAATATTTTCAAGTGATGTGTTGAAGGTGCAGTCTGATTTCTTCTTGAAGTTTACACTAAAATGTGAGAGGAAAGGGATAAATTGAGAAATGAAATATTAAGCAAAATGGAACCAGAACTCGGTAATTTGGGAAATTCTCAACCTATCCAGATTGCAAAAGATGCTAAAATAGGAAGAGTCACTGTTAAGAAAGTGTGCTTCAGAAAAACCAAAAGTGGGGTTGGATAACATTAGATAGTGCTGAAGAGACTGGCCATGTAACTCATGGATCACTTCAAACATCTCAGCAGAAGCTGAGAATAGAGATGTGATTTTCCAGGGAAGATTTGTATATGAACCTCTTGATTAATGGCATGAATCCCCATAACACACATAAGAGACCCACGGAATTTTTAAGAATGCTATGCCAGAAGAAACACTGTCTGGTGGGACTAAAGTAACTACCAGATGGAAACAGGCTAATAAAACTATTCAGCTACAAGCATATGCTACACTAAAGAAAAAGGAAGAATGACGGAGGGAAGAGCTTTGGGTCTAGAGGCTGGTGCTGCAATCACGGGGAAATAAACCAGAGCCAGGAACTCTCAGGGCATTGCTTTCAGGTCTTGAAACCCAATGGAATTTGTTTACTAGACTTTGAAATTGCTTGGGACAAATGACCCCTTTATTCCTTCATTTTCTACCTTTTGGAATGCAAATGTCTGTAACTCTTACACTATGCCTGTGTCACCATTGTATTTTACAAGCAGGTAACTTGTTTTCTAATTTCACTGATCTACAGATACAAATTTTGAGATGTTTAAAGTGATCCATGGGTTACATGCCTAATCTCTTCAGCACTATCATATTTTGACCCAGCATAGATCACACCCAGAGTTTCACCCATACCTGACTTTTTATTTTTTTATTTTTTTGAGACGGAGTCACTCTGTCACCTAGGCTGGAGTGCAGTGGCACGATCTCGGCTAACTGCAATCTCTGCCTCCCAGGTTCAAGTTATTCTCCTGCCTCAGCCTCCCATGGACCTGGGATTACAGGCATGTGCCAACATGCTGGGCTAATTTTTGTATTTTTAGTAAAAACAGGGTTTCACCATGTTGGCCAGGCTGGTCTCAAACTCCTGATCTCAAGTGATCTGCCCACCTCGGACTCCCAAAGTACTGGGATTACAGACATGAGCCACTGCGCCCCACCCATATCTGATTGAGATGATGAGATTTGAGACATTTTTTTCATATATATATATAATTATACTTTAAGTTCTAGGGTACATGTGCACAACATGCAGGTTAGTTACATATGTATACATGTGCCATGTTGGTGTGCTGCACCCATTAACTCTTCATTTACATTAGGTATATCTCCTAATGCTATCCCTCCCCCCCTCCCCCCACCCCACAACAGGCCCCAGTGTGTCATGTTCCCCTTCCTGTGTCCAAGTGTTCTCATTGTTCAATTCCCACCTATGAGTGAGAACATGCGGTGTTTGGTTTTTTTGTCCTTGGGATAGTTTGCTGAGAATGATGCTTTCCAGCTTCATCCATGTCCCTACAAAGGACAGGAACTCATCATTTCTTATAGCTGCATAGTATTCCACGGTGTATAGGTACCACATTTTCTTAATCCAGTCTATCATTGTTGGACATTTTGGTTGGTTCCAAGTCTTTGCTACTGTAAGTAGTGCCGCAATAAACATACGTGTGCATGCGTCTTTATAGCAGCATGATTTATATTCCTTTGGGTATGTACCCAGTAATGGGATGGCTGGGTCAAGTGGTATTTCTAGTTCTAGATCCCTGAGGAATCGCCACACTGTCTTCCACAATGGTTGAACTAGTTTACAGTCCCACCAACAGTGTAAAAGTGTTCCTATTTCTCCACATCCTCTCTAGCACCTGTTGTTTCCTGACTTTTTAATGATTGCCACTCTAACTGGTGTGAGATGGTATCTCATTGTGGTTTTGATTTGCATTTCACTGATGGCCACTGATGATGAGCATTTTCTCATGTGTCTTTTGCCTGCCTAAATGTCTTCTTTTGAGAAGTGTCTGTTCATATCCTTTGCCCACTTGTTGATGGGCTTGTTTTTTTCTTGTAAATTTGTTTGAGTTCTTTGTAGATTCTGGATGTTAGCCCTTTGTCAGATGAGTAGATTGCAAAAATTTTGTCCCATTCTGTAGGTTGCCTGTTCACTCTGATGGTACTTTCTTTTGCTGTGCAGAAGCTCTTCAGTTTAATTAGATCCCATCTGATAATTTTGGCTTTTGTTGCCATTGCTTTTGGTGTTTTAGACATGAAGTCCTTGAGCATGCCTATGTCCTGAATGGTATTGCCTAGGTTTTCTTCTAGGGATTATATGGTTTTAGGTCTAACATTTAAGTCTTTAATCCATCTTGAATTAATTTTTGTATAAGGTGTAAGGAAGGGATCCTGTTTCAGCTTTCTACATATGGCTAGCCAGTTTTCCCAGCACCATTTGTTAAATAGGGAATCCTTTCCCCATTTCTTGATTTTGACAGGTTTGTCAAAGATCAGATCATTGTAGATGTGTGGTATTATTTCTGAGGTCTCTGTTCTGTTCCATTGGTCTATATCTCTGTTTTGGTACCAATACCATGCTGTTTTGGTTACTGTAGGCTTGTAGTATAGTTTGAAGTCAGGTAGCGTGATGCCGCCAGCTTTGTTCTTTTGGCTTAGGATTGACTTGGCGATGCGGGCTCTTTTTTGGTTCCATATGAACTTTGAAGTAGTTTTTTCCAGTTCTGTGAAGAAAGTCATTGGTAGCTTGATGGGGATGGCATTGAATCTATAAATCACCTTGGGCAGTATGGCCATTTTCATGATATTGATTCTTCCTATCCATGAGCATGGAATGTTCTTCCATTTGTTTGTGTCCTCTTTTATTTCATTGAGCAGTGGTTTGTAGTTCTCCTTGAAGAGGTCCTTCACATCCCTTGTAAGTTGGATTCCTAGGTATTTTATTCTCTTTGAAGCAATTGTGAATGGGAGTTCACTCATGATTTGGCTCTCTGTCTGTTATTGGTGTATAAGAATGCTTGTGATTTTTGCACATTGATTTTGTATCCTGAGACTTTGCTGAAGTTGCTTATCAGCTTAAGGAAATTTTGGGCTGAGATGATGGGGTTTTCTAGATATACAATCATGTCATCTGCAAACAGGGACAATTTGACTTCCTCTTTTCCTAATTTAATACCCTTTATTTCTTTCTCTGCCTGACTGCCCTGGCCAGAACTTCCAACACTATGTTGAATAGGAGTGGTGAGAGAGGGCGTCCCTGTCTTGTGCCAATTTTCTAAGGGAATGCTTCCACTTTTTGCCCATTTAGTATGATATTTGCTGTGGGTATGTCATAAATAGCTCTTATTATTTTTAAATACGTCCATTAATACCTAATTTATTGAGAGTTTTTAGCATGAAGTGCTGTTGAATTTTGTTGAAGGCCTTTTCTGCATCTTTTGAGACACAAGGATATCCAGGAATTGAATTCAGCTCTGCACCAAGCAGACCTAATAGACATCTACAGAACTCTCCACCCAAAATCAACAGAATATACATTCTTCTCAGCACCACACCACACCTATTCCAAAATTGACCACATACTTGGAAGTAAAGCACTCCTCAGCAAATGCAAAAGGACAGAAATTATAACAAGCTGTCTCTCAGACCACAGTGCAATCAAACTAGAACTCAGGATTAAGAAACTCACTCAAAACCACTCAACTACATGGAAACTGAACAACCTGCTCCTGAATGACTACTGGGTGCATAACGAAATGAAGGCAGAAATAAAGATGTTCTTTGAAGCCAATGAGAACAAAGACACAACATAGCAGAATCTCTGGGACACATTTAAAGCAGTCTGTAGAGGGAAATTTATAGCACTAAATGCCCACAAGAGAAAGCAGGAAAGATCTAAAATTGACACCCTAACGTCACAATTAAAAGAACTAGAGAAGCAAGAGCAAACAAATTCAAAAGCTAGGAGAAGGCAAGAAATAACTAAGATCGGAGCACAACTGAAGGAGATAGAGACACAAAAAACCCTTCAAAAAATCAATGAATCCAGGAGCTGGTTTTTGAAAAGATCAACAAAATTGATAGACCACTAGCAAGATTAATAAAGAAGAAAAGAGAGAAGAATCAAATAGATGCAATAAAAAATGATAAAGGGGATATCACCACTGATCCCACAGAAATACAAACTACCATCAGAGAATACTATAAACACCTCTATGCAAATAAATTAGAAAATCTAGAAGAAATGGATAAATTCCTCAACACATACACCCTCCCAAGACTAAACCAGGAAGAAGTTGAATCTCTTAATAGACCAATAACAAGCTCTGAAATTGAGGCAATAATTAATAGCCTACCAACCAAAAAAAGCCCAGGACCAGATGGATTCACAACCGAATTCTACCAGAGGTATAAGGAGGGGCTGCTACCATTCCTTCTGAAACTATTCCAATCAATAGAAAAAGAGGGAATCCTCCCTAACTCATTTTATGAGGCCAGCATCATCCTGATACAAAAGCCTGACAGAGACACAACAACAAAAAAAGAGAATTTTAGACCAATATCCCTGATGAACATAGATGCAAAAATCCTCAATAAAATACTGGCAAACCAAATACAGCATCACATCAAAAAGCTTATCCACCATGATCAAGTGGGCTTCATTCCTGGGATGCAAGGCTAGTTCAACATATGCAAATCAATAAACGTAATCCAGCATATAAACAGAACCAAAGAGATTTGAGACTTTTAAATTGATGATAGTTGGGTGAGATTTTGGACTTCAGTTGATGCTGTATGGGTTGAGACTTTTGGGAATATTGGAATGGGTTGAATACACTTTGTGTGTGAGATGTACATGAATCTCTGGAGACTAGAGTCCAGATTGTGGGAGGCCAAAAAATCCCCCTACCCCAAAAGATATCCATATTCTCATTCCTAGAACTGTGAATCTTTCCATATTGGTGGAAAAAAAGAATCTTTGCAGATGTGATTGGGTTAAAAATCTTGAGATAGGGAGATTATCCTAGATTACTTAGTTGGGCCCTAAATACAATTACATGTATCCTAAAAGAGGGAGGTAGAGGGACATTTAGACACATAAACAAACAGAAGAGAGGGCAACATGAGGATAGAGACTGAGGTGATGGAGCCTCAAGCTAAGGAATTGCAGAAGGCAACAGGGCACAAATCCTCCCCTAGAGGTCTGGGGTTACAGAACCTTACCAACACCTTGATTTCAGTCTAGCGATGTATTTTGTACTTCTGGCCTCCCAAACCATGAGAAAATAATTTCTATTGTTTTAAGCCACAGGCGTTGTAGGAATTTCTCATAGCACTCACAAGAATCCTATGTTTTTGGAATTCACTGAATTTAGAGGTTAATTTGTATGGGATAATCATCTTTATAATAGTCTTCTCATACATGAGGCATGAGTATATCCATTTTCATTACATCTTCTCTTATATCCTTTGAAAAAGTTTTAAATTTTTCTCCATAAAGGTGATATGCATCCTTTGTTATTCCTAGAAAACTGGTAGTATTCATTGATACTGTGAATTGAATTTTTTTAGCATTGCCTCTATATTTTCTATTTGATTACTTTTGGGGCCTATCAATTTTAGCATCTGATAGTATATTCAGTGTGCCTTTAAAAGTCATTATTTTTGCAGTAGTTTATAGACTTTTCTGGATTTTCTAGAGAAACACCATGTGTACAAATGATAAGAGTTTTACTTCCTTTATGATTCTTTCTTTTCTTGGGATACTACCCAAGACTTCCATGCTTATTGAATACAAGTAGTAATCGAAAAGGTTTACCCTCACTCTTATGTTAAAGACAATTCTACTTCACCATGAAATGTGTTTCTGTAGGCTTTAGATAGATGCCTATTATCATTATAAGGGATTCCCTTTTATTCGAGAGATTCTCATGCTGGAGTTCAAAGTTATCAAATAATTTTTCTGTTTAGAATGGATTATATTTGCTTTTTCTCTTTAAGCTATTTTTATTTTTTAAAGTTTGCTTAGGATTATTAGGGCTCCTTGACTCTGTGGCTTGATGTCTTCCATTCGTTTGAGAAAATTCCCAGCCATAATGTCTTCAAACGTTGCTTCTGCCCATTCTTTCTTTTCTGGATATTTGCATATTTCCTAGACTTTCTCACTGTATCTTTTATGTCATTGTGTATCCAGTTCTATTATTTTTCTATTCCTTTTTTTCTCTATGCTTTATTCTTAATGTATTTTTTGGAGTTATCCTCTTAACCAATTCTCTGTAATTTACTATTACATCAATTTAGATCCATCCATTTAGTACCTAATTTCAATGATTTCCATTCTAAGAGCTTCTAATTTTCGGCCCAAATTCTTATTTTCAGTCTCATTAAACTTTTCAAAATGTTTTAAAACATAGATTTGGCTGTGTCATTAATTCCTTTAAATGATTTTTGGTTGTGTCCTATTAGGTTTTTTTAAATTTCATATTATTCATTGTCTTATATTTTTTGTTTTCTTTAGATTTACTGTGCTGTTTTATTTTTTTTTATTATTTATTTATTTTGAGACGGAGTCTTGCTCTGTTGCCCAGGCTGGAGTATAGTGGTGCGATCTCGGCTCACTGCAAGCTCCACATCCTGGGTTCATGCCATTCTCCTGCCCCAGCCTCCCGAGTAGCTGGGACTACAGGCACCCACCACCATGCCCGGCTAATTTTGTTTTTTTGTATTTTTAGTACAGATGGTGTTCCACCATGTTAGCTATGGTCTCGATCTCCTGACCTCGTGATCTGCCTGCCTTGGCCTCCCAAAGTGTTGGGATTACAGGCGTGAGCCATTGTGCCCAGCCTGTTTTATTAATATCTTAAGTGAGGCACTTATACGCATTTATTCTCCATTTTTTAAATTTTCTAATATTCCTAAATATACTGCCATAAAAATCATCATTTGTTCTGATATTTAATATATACTTTACTATTTGTGAGGCTTTGATTTTCTGATTTTTCTGAGAACCTTGAGTTATTTTTTAAAGTTTAAAAATTTAAAATACATGT